>NC_000007.14:147791713-147943228 GCF_000001405.40 Homo sapiens | reverse complement strand
GTTTTGAAGCATCTGGTTGTCCAAAGTAAAGTGAGATAGGTATTGTCCTACTGTATTTACAGCCCTTTGTGAACTGAACTGCTCTATATACTTCTGGTTGCCATAAGAAAGGCATTGATAAATATGACAAAATTCAGGGGAAGGTAGGGTTCCAGGAGAACTGCTGTTGGAAGCGGGGATTTTTTTTTTTTTGAGATGGAGTCTCGCTTTGTCGCCCAGGCTGGTGTGCAGTGGCCTGATCTCAGCTCACTGCAAGCTCCGCCTCCCGGGTTCATGCCATTCTCCTGCCTCAGCCTCCCGAGTAGCTGGGACTACAGGCACCCGCCACCACACCCAGATAAGTTTTTTTATTTTTAGTAGAAATGGGGTTTCACCGTGTTAGCCAGGATGGTCTCGATCTCCTGACCTCGTGATCCGCCCACCTCGGCCTCCCAAAGTGCTGGGATTACGGGCGTGAGCCACTGCGCCTGGCCAGTAAGACACAGTGGTCTTGATAGCAGTCTTCACATACTTGAAGGCTGGGAAATAAGAAGTATATGCTTTCTGTATTTTTTCCTACACAGGACAGTAGTAGGATTATTAGATCTAAATTTTAGGGTGACAATTGTGACTCTAAGGAAATATGAAGCCTCTAAAATATTGAGCAGTGCTATTCACTGCTGCACGAGATACTGAGATACCAAAATAGGATTCTAGAGTAGTTGACTGGAATATCATGAACAGGCTTCCTACGAATATTAAAAAATCAGGTGGGATGATCTCAATTTATGTTTAAGTTTTTACAATTCCTCCTCTTAGGTAAACTGTTTTAAAAGTTATCAGAAAACATTTATCCATTTTGTTTGTTTTTGATTTGCTGTAGGATGAAAGGCTTACTTCTACAACGAACTTAACTATTTCAATGTTTTTTAAGTTACCAATGTCACTAGGAAATTGATCAGCATTGGCAGCTACTGACATGCTGCTGATTCAGTTAGCCTAGGAAACAGGTGGGTTAAGAGATCAGATTTCCGTATGGGGCAAGTGCATCAATTACTGCTGCCATTGTTGTATTGGATCTTGAACCTCTAGCACCACTTTTCTAGACCTGATGTGAGCCCTGCCAAACACTAAGGACATAAAGAACCTCAGAAATAGCAGTGAGGTCTTGCATCAGGTTGAAGAGAAAAACTGATGCCACATAAAATAAACGTGTCTTAAAAGCCAGTAAGTCATAATGAGGTACTAACCTGGACAGCCAACATTCAGTAAAGTCAGTTATTAGGTTCTTAGGTAGACATGGCCACATGATCAAAGAACGTACACACTTTAAATATGTCGGTATAGCTGGCTCTGACTGTAAATATGTGCAATAATCCAGCGTAATCATTTAAATCCTAAAACTGTATTCACCCAGGAAAGAGTGACGGTTTTAAAAGCAGTAACAACTGAGCAAGAAATGGTACTGCCTTTAAATGTCCCTTGTTTATGGGGACATTCAATCACAGCTTATCATTTTAGAGTAATTACTGAATCTTAATGTGTCACATTTGGACTCATTAAAAACACAACTAATTACATTTTAATTCTGTAACCAAAATAGAAGCAAACCTGGCAATTGAGCGAGTAAGAACTCTGGAAGAGAATCGACATGTTTGTGTACCCACTGCCATTCACAGAGTGATTTGTTTATAAAGACACAGAGCTATTTTCTGTCTGCAAAGCTCTCCAGGGAGAAGCAGTGAGGTCACTTGGCGGTGACAACTTTTTTTGTGAGTGCTCTCTAGAAGTTGGTGTGTGTGTTACCAATATTATTTTAGGGCTGGCAGGAGAGGAAGGAGACCTATTTCCAGAAAAGCTACTGGGAATCCTAGTATGAGGCAGATTCTATAATGTCGAGCCTTTACTAAGGGTGTGAACTATCCCCACCCTCGGCTGCCATTTTGTTTACTTTGTAAATTCTACACACGCAATTCCTAGCTTATAATTAAGTCATGGCCCCAAATGCCTTCCAGGGTCTCTCTCTTACACCCCTGAGATGCCTCATCCTAATGTCTTCCTCAAATTCTCCTTCCAGTCTCCGGGGCACAGTGCTTCTTTGGGAAACCCTTTTGCTTCAGTCCCTCATGTTGGAGCTACTCTCAGCGCCAGACTGTGGCCACATCAGAGCACATCAGAAAGTACGTGTATAGTTTCTTGCCAGAATATTGTTGGGATAATTCCGGCTATTAATACCTCCAAACCAACTCCAGCAAGGATAAATTACTCTTTGACAACAGAAATGTAAGCTAGCTTATGAGTTTCTCTTTTTATACTAGTTGCTTCAAATATTACGATTGAAACTATTGTTTGGACTTACAGTTAAATAGTATGGTGATTTGTTTGATGGGGTTTTCTAAAAGATTTTCTTGGACCGGTTATGATGGCTTATGCCTTGTAATTCCAGCACTTTTGGTGCCCGAGGTGGGAGGATCGCTTGAGCCCAGGAATTCTAGACCAACCATCCTGGGCAACAGGGAGATCTTGTCTCTACATAAAATTTAAAAAATTAGCCAGGTGTGATGGCGCTTGTCTGTGGTCCCAGCTACTCAGGAGGCTGAGGTGGGAGAATCCCTTGAGCCCAGAAGGTTAAGGCTGCAGAGAGTTGTGTTCACGCCACTGCACTCAAAGCCAGGGCATCAGAGTTAGACTGTGTCTCAAAAATAAATAAATAAATAAATAATTAAAAAAGAAATAATGAAAGAATCTCTTTTATGTGTAGAAACTCATGCTCAGTGAAGTTGGGTTTGAAGATTGTATTGATCGTATTGTATCTACCATTGCTCTGTAAGTTTTACTCTGCTTTTTATTTTTTCCTCCTGTGGCGATAAAGTCGGACCGCTACCTATATTGGTAAGTTAGGGTGTAAAATTGCTTCTAAAGCCATTTTTTTTTTTTTTTTTTTTTAAAGAGACAGGGTCTTGCTATGGTATCCAGACTGGAGTGCAGTGGCTATTCACAGGTGGAACCCACTGCCGATCAGAATGGAAATTTTGACCTGCTCCGTTTCTCACTTGGCTTGGTTCACCCCTCCTTAGGCAAACTGATGATTCCCGCTCCCAGGAATTAACCATATTGACGCCAAACTTAGTGCGACTACCCTATCAGCACAGTGCACTACCACGCAGAACTCCTGGGCTCAAAACAATGCTCCTGCCTCAGTGTCCAAAGTAGCTGTGACCCCAGGCACCCGCCACCATGCTTGGCTCTAAAGTAATTTTAAAGTCACAGATTTTCTTTGTTTTGAAACAATTGCATGGAAAAGCAAAATTTATAGCTTCGAAGGACACTAATGGCAACTCAGGTTAAACTGAACAACTCTCAGACCCAAGTGGGGAAAAAAGGAAACTTTTTGTATGGGGGATTTATTTACCTTTCTTTACAAATCTGCTGGGGGGTGTGTGTGTGAGAGAGAGAGAGAGAGAAAGAGAGATTGGAAATGGACACTTGCCTTTTCTTTTGATCAGAATATAATGATACTTAGCTCCTTTCGTCATTCTTGACAATGCATTTAAAGGCCTCCTTTTTATGTGTTGAGTTTCCCTGCTAGAACTACAGGCTTGTGACCATAAAATTCTACATGAGGCCAGGCGTGGTGGCTCACGCCTGTAATCCCAGCACTTTGGGAGGCAGAGATGGGTGGGTCACAAGGTCAGGAATTCGAGACCAGCTTGGCCAACATGGTGAAACCCCATCTCTACTAAAAATACAAAAATTAGCCAGGTGTGGTGGCAGGTGCCTCTAATCCCAGCTACTCAGGAGGCTGAGGCAGAAGAATCGCTTGAACCCGGGAGGCAGAGGTTGCAGTGAGCTGAGATCGTGCCACTGCACTCCAGCCTGGGCCACAGCCTGTCTCAAAAAAAATAAAATTAAAAAAAAAAATCCTACATGAATAGTCACTAATGGGTTCAGGCAGATTTCCTGATTTTTCTTCTTACCTCATAGATTTAAAATGTATGGCTTTTTAGTTAAATGTGAGTAAAATACTATCAGCTTCCCTCTTCCCTATTTTTTAGGTTTCTGGTACATATTTAATTATATGATTATAGTTTATGCGAACATCTTTTTATCAACTGTCAAAATTGTATGTTTTATGTGATGGAGAGTGAGTCATCGTACATACATCTAGCCAATAAACTTATCAAAGATAAGTGAACCCTTGAGCTAGGGAAATGGGCACAGGAAATGATGAAATCTAATATTGAAAAATATTAAAATCTAATATTAAAAAATCTAATATTGAAAGCTGTGAATAAAAGTTGAGATTCATAGGCATTTATCTTGGCTCCAGAAGGACTCTGTGATGAGTAGCCTTAAGCCTCCAGTTGGGCTAGGTGTGGGATCAGTCAAGATCTCACACCTGAGAGTCAACACTCTCATGTCTCTTTTTAACAGGAAAACTAGAAAAATACAATAGCCTCAGGTCATTAGTGTTTGGTGAAAGTGAATACAGCCCTGGAATTTGAGCAGATTCACATGAGACCTACTTTTTCAAAGGAGTATGTGTACTTTATAAATTGTACCAGTTTAGTTACTTAAAAAAAATCCTGCTTTACTTAATTTACGTGGTTTGCCTTTTGTTACCCAGATATCATAAAGGTATTATCTTCATATTCCTGTAATATATTTAAAGTTTTGTTTTTTAATATATTTAAATGTTCTTTTCATTGAGATCCAATATCTCCCTGAATTTTTTGTTTGTTTCAGGAGGGAAAGCTATTTTACTTTTTCAAATATTGAAATTCAATTAATGCAACATCATTTATTTTCCTTTTTTCATTAATTCTTCGTGTTTCCTCTATAATATTCCAAGTTCTTTTATGTATGGGTCAGTGTCTAGTCTCTTTATCATAATCCATCCAATTGGTCCTAGTATTGTGTGCTTTAAATACTGTAGCTTAGTGTATAGTAGGTCTTAGTATTTAATGGGAAAATATTTTCCTCCATTTCTTTCCCTTTTTATATGCATATTTTTACGAGTGCTGAGAGTTGACCCAAATTTTAGAAAAGGACTTCTATTGCAGGAAGAAAAAATTATTAGACCAGCTCACAGTTCTTATCTCTACGCAGTGAATGGTGTTGTGGAAATAAAATGAAATTCGAGTCAGACATGGGGTCAAAATCTAGCTGCCAATTTAAAGCTATAAGATGAATAAAAATAGTTACTCCTGCTGAAAGTCATTTCCCCCACCTGAGAAATAGGAACAATATCCTAACTTTTGAGGACTGCCCCTGAGAATTAACCATGGTTAAGATAGAAGGCACCTAGCATAGTAGGCATTTGTTCAATGGTAGCTACTATTATCATCGTCATCATCATTAAGATTATATAGTATGATCTAAAGAGCAATTTGAGTCTCCAATTCAAAATGCTTCTTATTATATGATTATTTCTGAAATAATCTCTAAGTCCTGAAAAAAATCTAGGAAGTCATTAATATCTCAAAGGGGTTTCGAAAATGAGAGAAAGATTGCTTTTTAGTATCATCCAGGGAATTGTGAGTGACACGCAGGAGTTGTTGCTTTCATTCAGTGGACTCAGGCAGGATCTGAAACATGGGGGTGGAGTCTGCTCCAGGAACTATGACTCAGGCAGGAGAGAGAGTGCCCATGCCGCATGGAGAGAGAATAAGAATGTGGGTTACCCGCAGGAAAGGGCACCAAGAGACAGAACTAAGGTACCAGAATGTATAGTCTGAGGGTTCAGATGAGCAGTATCCTTAGTAGACATGCACCCTGCAGCTGTGCCTCATTGATATGATTTGTGTCCCATAGGTATATTGGTCACTAACTGGGATCTGAGTGCCTATTGCCCAGTATTGGGCAAACCATGGGCAACCACTGTATTTTGGAATGTGTTATGATGGTTGAATGTATTTAGGTGGGAAGCTGGGAAAGGCAATTTAAAGATCTTTGTGAGAAAACATGAAGGATATGGAAATTTGTTGGTCAAACTTAACAACAAATAAATTCTAAAAGTAGCTGATCACAAGATTCACAAACTGACCAATCTGGTTCTGTCCTCTCACTTTTCCCACAACCCAGCCAAGACTGACTGGCCTATCATGTCTTCCTCCTCTTAAGTCAAGCAGTGAAGGATCCAAAAATAAAGTCCCGGAGCACCATCAGGTAGAAGGGAATCGTGGTGGTGGTGGTGGTGGTGGTGAGGGGGTGAGGGTCTCTTGACCACCAGAGAAAATACTGGTAGAGACTGAGGCTGACCTTGCTCCATAATTGGATGTCTCCTGTCCTGCAGCAATGGGGTGCAACATTACTGATGGCTGCCAGAGCTTGTTCTAACTCATTCACTTTTCTTTATTTTGTATCAAGGGAGCACAGAAACCTGCAGAACTTTATTTATGAGTCCAAGGGCACAAAGAGACGGTAACAGGATGTCACCATTGTGCTTTCTATTTTGAGCACTCTGTCCCTAAAATTGGTGTTTGAGTGTCAAGCATGCTTAATTTAATAGACTCATGCTGCTTATCAAGGTGAGTGGGGGTGCAGCATTGTTTTTAGTTGTTTATTCTCTTTCAAGGAGATAGAGTTGAAGAAAGAGGAGAAAAAGGAGAAACACATTTATTATACCCTCAAAATGAGGGAGGGGAGGGATAAATGAATACATGTAGTCATTTCATAGTTGAATGAAGCAAAACCAACTCCAGAAGACCCTCTCAATGGCACCCTTTATCATTCTGTGTTGAACTGTTTATTCTCTTTTACATTCATATTCCAGGTTGCTAGATACAAAAATACTCTCCTTTCTAATATATTTCCTCTTTTATAACCAGTTTTTCTCTGTCTTCAGATTAAGTCATACTGAAGTGACCACTTCTAGCAATATTCACTCACTCTTGATAATAGGTCAAGATCCACTGGATCAAAATAAGTGAGTGCAAAAAAAAAAAAATAAAATAAATGTCGTGTACAGTATACACAACCCTGGCAAAGAGATTAGATCTGTGTACTCAGATCAGTGATCTAAAATCATGTGTCTTTTAATTTTATTTTGCTTTCCCAAAAAAGACTTGCTTTTAATGTAAGTTGCTAATATAGAGGTTCTCATGTTTAGCTTAGTGCAATTATTTTTAAAAACCAACATATATATTTTAAAGAGTACAAGATAGGTGTAGTTATTTTATTTGTTTGCTTTTTTTTCTTATCATCCAAACAGGCACACTTTTAAGTTGAGCTTTTACATGAAAGCATGTTCAAGTTAAACATGAGAGTTTTATGAAATGAGGACTGAATATAAGAGTTTATAGCAAGCATTATGTTGCATCTCTTAAAATAGCTTGACATTCTGCATGCTACAATGCATACATTATTTCCAGATAAACATATTTGCACTGAGGAAGAAAATAATGAAGTGGAGAGAGTAAACATATAGTTGTTTTTAAGCACTTTTGAATAAAGGCAGTATAGTTAATTTTTTTGCTATCATATAAATGAAAGATAATATTGTTCCAAGATAAAGCTCACCTTTCAGTCCTAAATTACATGACCAGAATTAAAGGGGCAGAGCATTAAAAAATTTACTAGATATTTGTAATAGTTCAAAAAGTGACTAAAATATATAAGAACATAATTTAATCTATAACCTTGAATCATACTTTAAAATTCATTCTCTCAGCCCTACTTTAACATAATCTTGTAAACAATTTCAGTTATAAAATTTCAATTCACAACTGACCAAAAAGGTGGCATAAAATTCAATTTTGAGTTGATGCAAATAAATACAGTATATTAAACTCAGCTTCAGTAATTTTTAAAGAAAGATTTACTCGGCTGGGCGCAGTGGCTCACGCCTGTAATCCCAGCACTTCGGGAGGCTGAGGCGGGCAGATCATGAGGTCAAGAGATCAAGACCATTCTGGCCAACATGGTGAAACCCCGTCTCTACTAAAAATGCAAAAATTAGCCAGGTGTGGTGACGTGTGCCTGTAATCCCAGCTACTCTGGAGGCTGAGGCAGGAGAGTCGCTTGACCCCGGGAGGCACAGATTGCAGTGAGCCGAGATCGCACCACTGCACTGCAGCCTGGCGACAGAATGAGACTCCACCTCAAAAAAAAAGAAAGAAAGATTTACTCAAACCTTTTAAATTAAAAAAAAAAACAAAAAACTTTGCATTAGATTACTTTTCAATGTAATTTCTAAACTGTATGACCAAAGGACGTATCTAAAACTCTACAAAAGTTAACTTTAAAATTCATTAATTAAATTAGTTATTCAAAAAGTCTCTGTACTCATCTTATAAATTTAAACGTAGCACAAGAGGGAACTAAGAGTTGGCAAATAAACTGTAATAGACTGGATAAGTTAAAAATCTGTATGTATTTTTATCAGTCAAGTATTTGGGAAAAGGGTACTACACATATTGTGAATAGGATGTAAAACAAGTTTTTCATTTTTGGATCTCTGTATATGAGTTATCTACAAGAACCTGTTATATTCATTTAAAGTCTCTGAGACTTATATCCCTGTCATTTTGTGGTTATGTAGGGTTACTTTGATCCAAGTTCAAGATTTCAGTGCTGGTGATCATGTTTGTAATTTCCTCAGATCTCTTAGGTAAAACACCTTGAAGTATAGGCTCTCAGATTCTTTCTAGTTTTTTGTTTGTCTATTTTGATTTCTATTTCTATTTGATCTGGTTTTGCTGTGTCCCCACCCACATCTCATCTTGAATTCCCATATGTTGTGGGAGGGACTTGGTGGGCAGTAATTCAATCATGGGGGCAGGTCTTTCCCATGCTGTTCTCATGATAGTGAATAAGTCTAATGAGATTTGATGGTATTAAAAGGAGGAGTTCCCCTGCACAAGTTCTCTCTCTTTGCCTGCTGCCATCCAAGTAAGACTTGACTTGCTCTTCCTTGCCTTCTGCCATGACTGTGAGGCTTCCCAAGCCACTTGGAACTGTAAGCCCAATTAAACCTCTTTCTTTTTTAAATTACCCAGTCTTGGGTATATCTTTATCAGCAGTGTGAAAAAGGACTAATACTCTAACTGTAGTATGAACAGGTAACATGAGATCTACTCTCTCAAATTTTTAAGTGTACAGTATTGTTAACCGTAAGCACTACGTTGTATACCCATCTTGCATGACTAAAACTTTATACCCATTGAATAGCAAGTCCCCGTATTCCCCTCTTGCCAGCCCCTGGCAACCAGCATTCTACTCTTTGCTTCTATGAGTTTGATTATTGTTGATACCTCACATAAATGGAATCATGCAGTATTTGCCTTCTGTGGTTGACTTATTTCACTTAGCATAATGTTCTCAAGATTCATCTATATTGTCACTTATGGCAGGACTCCTTTTTCTTTTTCTTTCTTTTTGTTTTTTGAGATAGAGTCTCACTCTGTTGCCCAGGCTGGAGTGCAATGGTGCGATCTTGGCTCACTGCAACCTCTGCCTCCTGGATTCAATCGATTCTCCCACCTCAGCCTCTCCAGTAGCTGGGATTACAGGCACCCACCACCATGCCTGGTTAATTTTGTATTTTAGTAGAGACAGGGTTTTACCATGTTGGTCAGGCTGGTCCCGAACACCTGACCTCAAGTGATCTGCCTGCCTTGGCCTCCCAAAGTGCTGGGATTACAGGTGTGAGCCACCACGCCCAGCCAGGACTTCCTTTTTCTTAAGGCTGAATGATATTCTGTTATATCTATCTATCTATCTATCTATCTATCTATCTATCTATCTATCTATCTCACATTTTCTGTATCCATTCATATATACATATATACCATATTTTCTGTATCCATTCATCTTTTGATAGACATTTAGGTTATTTCCACATCTTGGCTACTGTGAATATTGCTGCAGTGAACATGGGGTCCATATATCTCTTTAAGATTCTAATTTTAATTTTGGGGGAGTAAATGGCCAGAAGTGGACTTATTAAATCATATGGCAACTCTACTTTTAATTTTTTTGAGAACATTCTATACAGTTTTCCATACATATATATACACAGCTGCACCATTTTTTATTTTCACCAACAATGTACAAGGGTTCCAATTTCTCCACAGCCTTAATAACACCAAGTAACTTTTTTTTTTAAAACAATAGCCATCCAGCCTGGGAGACAGAGCAAGATTCTGTCTCAAAACAAACAAACAAACAAACAAACAAACAAACAAACAAACCCCCTCAAATAAAAACCAATAGCCACCCTAAGAGGTGTGAGATATCTCATTATGGTTTTCATTCTCATTTCCCTATGATTAGTGATGTTGAACAATCTTTTTATGTATCTATTGCCCAGTTGTATATCTTCTTTGGATAAATGTCTATTCAAATTTTTTACTCATTTAAAAATCAGTTTGTTTGCTTTTTTACTCTTAAGTTGGAGGAGTTCCTTATATATTTTGGAAATTAATGCCTTATCAGATATGTGGTTTGCAAATATTTTGTCTCATTCTACAGGTTGCCTTTTCACTGTATTGATTGTTCCTTTGCTGTACAGAAGTTTTTTAGTTTGACATAGTATACCTCTTGCTCTGTTTTTGCTTTTGTTGTTTGTGCTTTTGGTGTCATATCCAAGAAATCATTGCAAAGACCAATGTCATGAAGATTTTCCCCTACGTTTTCTTCTAAGGATTTACAGTTTCAGGTCTTACGTTTAAGTCTTTAATTAATTTTGAGTTGATTTTTATGTATGGTGTACAGTAAGGGTTTAATTTTGTTCTTTTTGTATGTGGATATACAATGCCCCAACACTATTTATTGAAGAAATCATCCTCTCCCCATTGTCTGTTCTTGGCATCTCTATTGAAGATCAGTTGGTCATATATGCACAGGTTTATTTCTGGGCCCTCTTTCCACTGGTCTATAAAGCTGTCTTTATGACAGTACCTTAGTGTTTTAATTACTGAAGCTTCAGAATATATTTTGAAATCAAGAAGTGTGATGCCTCCAGCTTTGTTCTTTTTCTCAAGATTGTTTTAGCTATTTGGGATCCTTTGTGTTTCCATATGAGTTTTGGAATTGTTTTTTCTATTTCTGTAAAAAATGCTGGGGCGGGCACAGTGGCTCATGCCTGTAAGTTTCGCAGTTTGGAAGGCCAAGGTGGGTGGATCACTTGAGCCCAGGAGTTTGAGATCAGCCTGGGCAATATAGTGAGACCTCATCTCTACAAACAATAAAAAAATTAGCTGGGCCTGGTAGCATGCACCTGTAGTTCCAGTTACTTGTGAGGCTGAGGCAGGAGGATCGCCTGAGCACGGGAGGCGGAGGTTGCAGTGAGCTGAGATCGCACCACTGCACTCCAGCCTGGGTGATATAATGAGACCCTGTCTCAAAATAAATAAATAAATAAATAAAATAAAATAAAGAAAAAAGAATGTTATTGGAATTTTGATAGGGATTGCATTGAAACTCTAAATTCCTTTGGGTAGTATGGACATTTTAATGATATTAAGTTTTCCTGTCATAAACGTGGGACGTCTTTCCACTTATTTTCATCTTTAATTTTTTTCATCAATGTTTCATAGTTTTCAGCATACAAGTCTTTCACCTTCTTAAGTTTATTCCTAGGCATTCTGGCAATGTAGTGCAGCACATTAATTGATTTATTTATGTTGAAACATCCTTCTTCCTACCTGGTTGTGGTGTATGATCTTTTTGATATGCTGTTGAATTTGGTTTGCTAGTATTTTATTAAGGAATTTTGCATCTATGTTCAGCAGGGATATTGGCCTGTAGTATTCTTTTCTTGTAATATTCTTGTCTGGCTTTGGTGTCAGGGAAATGCTGGCCTTATAAAATGAGTTTGAAAGTATCCCCTTTTCTTTAATTTTTTGGAAGATCTTGACAAGGATTAGCATAAGTTCTTTAAATTTTTGGTGGAATTCAGCATTGAAGCCATCAGGTTGTAATGTCTCCTTTTCCATTTTTTATTTTATTTATTTGAGTTTTTTTCTCTTTTTTTTTTAGTTTGTCAATTTTGTTTATCTTTTTAGAAAATATTTCTTCAAGTTTTTCTATTTTTTTTTTACTCTGTTTATTTCTGCTCTAATCTACATTATTTCTTCCTTCTGCTAACTTTGGGCTAAGTTTGTTTTCCTTTTTCTAGTTTCTTGAGGTATGTTAGGTTGTTGATTTGCGTTCTTCTTTTCTTATGCAGCTGTTTATTACTATACATTTCTCTTTCAAAATTGCTTTTGCTGTATTGCATTCATTTTGGTATGTTGTGTTTTCATTTTTATTTGTCGTGAGACATTTTCTAATTTCCCTTTTGATTTATTTATTTGACCTATTCATTGTTCAAGAGTATTTCATTTAATTTTCATACATTTGTAAATGTTTCAGTTTTCTTTCTGTTATTTATTTTTGATTTCATTCCATTGTGATCAGAAAAGATACCTGGTATGATTTTAATCTTAGGTTTATTGAAACTTGTTTTGTGACGTAACATGAGATCTATCCTGGAGAATGTTCTGTGTGTGTTTGAGAAGGATGTGAATTCTGTCACTGTTGGGTGGGATGTTCTGTGTATGTCCGTTAGGTCCACTTGGTCTATAGTTTCTTATTGATTTGTCTGTCTGAATGTCTATCTGCTATTTAGTGGGATATGCAAGTCTTCTAATATTGTATTTCTTTCTTCAGTTCCATCAGTGTTTGCTTCATATATTTAGAGGTACTGATGCTGGGTGCATATAAAATTGTTACATCTTGGTGAATTAGCCTTCCTTCTGCTGATATTATTATTATATAGTGTCCTTTTTTGTCTCTTATGACAGTTTTTGACTTAAAATCTATTCTAAGTATAGCCACTCCTGCTCTCTTTTGGTTGCCATTTGCATAGATTATCATTTGTTCATCCTATCACATTCAGCCTATGTGTGTCTTTAAACTTAAAGTGAGTCTCCTGTAGACAGTATTTAATTGGATCTTTTGTCGTTGTTGTTTTCAAATCCATTCAGTCACTCTGTCTTTTGATTGGGGAGTCTAGTCTATTTTCATTTAAGGTAATTATTGACTTACTATTGCCATTTTGTTAACCTTTTTTGTTTGTTTGTTTGTCTTGTATTTATTTTGTCCCATTTCTCCTTTCCTGTTTTTTTTTCTTTCTGTTTTTCTTTTGTATGTGCTCTATACAGGGGTTCCCAACTCCCAGGCTATGGACCGGTACCAGTCTGTGGCCTGTTAGGAACCAGGCCATGCAGCAGGAGGTGAGGCGGGCGAGTGAGCATTCCCGCCTGAGCTCCGCCTCTTGTCAGATCAGTGACGGCATTAGATTCTCATGGAAGCTTGAGCCCCATTGTGAACTGCGTGTGCAAGGGATCTAGGTTGTGTGCTCCTTATGAGACTCTAACTAATGCCTGATGATCTGAGGTGGAACAGTTTTGTCCCCAAACCATCCCCCACCAACCCTGGTCCATAGAAAAATTGTCTTCCATAAAACTGTCCCTTGGTGCTAAAAAGGCTGGGGAACACTGCTCTGTATGTATTTTCTTTGTGGTTACAATGGGCTTACCTAAAAGTAGGTACTGAGATTAAAAAATTTGAAATAGGGTGGCTTTACTTTTTGGCAAAATACAGGCATTTTGGATATTTATAAAATTTAATACTTACAGGATGAATTCTAGTATACTATTTGCAAAAACCAGAAGTTAGTAGATAATGGATTAGTCTATCTCTAAATGGCTGGACCTGTATAACACTTTGTATTTTGAAACTGTACCTTTCATATCTTTAAATATTGTTTAAATCACATTATTTCATAATAATGTTATTATTTTGTGATACTGATAGTAAAACCTGAGTTTGTAGGATATTCTTTTCTGAAAAAGAGGCAGCGTTAGATGGTATCTACACAGCTGTGTTCTTGTTGAAGCATTGGGAGGAGTCCTTCTCCTCACCTCCATGTTACATGCTGTCCCTATAGTGTCCAATTAGTCTTTAAATATTTATGTGAATAATATCTCTTCTATCCCTTTCTAAAATTCTGTGTAGCTGAACTTCAAATGCAGCTCATACTGGTCATCACAATTTGACTGCTCTATCTTGCCTCTATGGACACACATGATCAATAAGAGCAGAACTCAATACATAAACAGATCACATATAAAGATTTAAAGGTTTTTTTTTTTTTTTTTTTTTTTTTTTGGGATGGAGTTTCGTTCTTGTTGCCCCGGCTGGAGTGCAACGGCGCAGTCTCGGCTCACTGCAACCTCTGCCTCCTGGGTTCAAGCGATTCTCCTGCCTCAGCCTCCTGAGTAGCTGGGATTACAGGTGTGTGCCACCACACCCAGCTAATTTTGTATTTTTTTAGTAGAGACGGGGTTTCTCCATGTTGGTCAGGCTGATCTCAAACTCTCGACCTCAGGTGATCTGCCCCCTTCAGCCTCTCAAAGTCCTGGGATTACAGGCGTGAGCCACCGCACCCGGCCGATTTAAAGGTTTTATAAAAAACTCTGTGGAACATTTTATAGAAGACACATTATAAGATGTGGTTTTTAGGACTCTCCCAAAACCCACTACATAGTCAGGTAGAGCAGTTCCAAGTGTGAGAGTAACTGACCGCCTCTTAGAATGTTGCTGACATCAGGAAACACGACCTACATTTATATTAGGCTACCAAAAACATAACTTCCTTTGCACTGACTCTAGCCTATAGATTGTTTTCTGACATTTTTACCCATAGCCAAGAGTCTCCTAATACTTTTCACCAAGACAATTCATCGCTTTAAAGTTTTCTTCTAATGAGAAAAAATAAATAAATAAGCTACTCATGAGTAGCAGTAAAACCTAACACTTCTGATTATGTTACATGCATTTTACACATAATTTCATATAATCTATATTATAGCTTTGTGAAGGAGGTACTATTACTTACACTAGCATCTTCTTTCTCATCCTCGCCCTGCTGTTCACCATCCCTCACTTTGAGAAATTGAGGTTTAAAGAGGTTATATAATTTTCCCAAGTATATTAGGAGTGTCTGTTCTCATGCTGCTAATTACCCGAGACTGGGTAATTTATAAAGAAAAAGAGGTTTAATGGGTTCACAGTTTCACATGGCTAGGGAGGCCTCACAATCACGGTGGAAGGTGAAAGGCACATCTTACATGGTGGCAGGCAAGATAGAATGAGAGCCAAGCAAAAGGGGAAACCACTTATAAAACCATCAGATCTTGTGAAACTTATTCACTGCCATGAGGACAGTATGGGAAAAACTGCCCCATAATTCAATGATCTCCCACCAGGTCCCTCCCACCACATGTGGGAATTATGGAAGCTACAATTCAAGATGAGATTTGAGTGGGGACACAGCCAAACCATATCACCAAGACTGCATATTTAATTGATAATCGGTAGGTAGTCCTGGGACTCTAACTTAGGAGATCCCAGAGTCAAGGTCTCGGCCATTGCACTAATTTCCTTTTAAGGAATTTCCCAATCTAGTCAAATTGGTGGTTTTCTAACTTGTCTGAGAAAAAAGTCACCCAGGGAATATCAGTAGTTATTTCTGAATTGAGAAAGAACTTTTCTGTATTTATTTTAAAATTTCAAAGTTTATTGATCAAGTATAGTTAATCTTATGGCATGAAATTCTGAAGATATTGCATATGTCTCAAGGAACAACTTGGTTTTAGAAATTTATTTTAAGCAAATGAAGATATTGGTCAATTTACTAGCCTATGCCTACCAATTCTTTTTAAAAAAATTTTTGTGAACACATAGTAGATGTATATATTTACGGAGTACATCAGTTATCTTGACAATCCATTTGAAACTAAAAGTGTTTGACTTATTCTACAATATTTAAAATAATATTTATTTCATTTTTACAACTCTTAGGTTAAATTAAACTTTAAAAAGAACCCTATTTAGCTACTAATACTGAAAGTATTTCAATGAATCTAATCAGACCATCAGAGTTTTTCTCAATATGGCATAAGTGGCGACTGTCATCTACTCAGGTTGAATATGATAAGGCAGAGGTGTGGCTGGCAGGCTTATGATAGTTTGGGGGAACAGAACATTTTTCATCTTTTTTCTTGAAAAAGTTATCCTTAGACCATTCTAAAAAAATTATCTTTATCATTCTACAACTAAATAGAATAAATGCATATTTATCTTTGAAGGAGTTTCTTCTACTCTGTAATATACGCAATTGTTTTATTGTCATATTGTAGCAAATATTAAAAATTTGTGGTGATTATGCAGGAGCTGACTTTGGAAGTGAATGTCAATTTAAACATGTTTCTCTGGCATTTATTAGTAATTAATTTGATTTTATTCTTTGTAACTAACTATGCAATTATAAATAATTTAAATTAGAGAGGAAATATATTCTGTAGACATCTCCACATCATCAGAACTATGTTTAAATATGTCAATCTGTCTTAAGAGTAAAATAACTCCATTGTATTATCACCTGAATTCACATGAAGAAGTGTTTAAAAACGCTCTTTGTTTTTTTCATGTAGATTTATCCTGTGCCTTCAGTTCTTCTATTTTCCTTTATAAAATCTTTTTTACTTTCCCGTTTGACATTTATCTTACGTGTTTATAAGATAAACTTTGGTTCAAAGGTTATATAACGAGACTTCATGAACTGTAATCTGTATACCAGTCAATCCAACTTTAATTTTAATTTTAATTTGGAGAGGATGGAATTACATGTAGATCACAGTGACTTAATGTGTTCAACAAGTAAAAAGATGTTGACTTTAATTTTCTTTGAATTTTGACTATTAGTATTGAACAAACTCAAGAAAGTGTATGTGAAGGTATTAAAAGCATAAATCAAACATCAGGTAAACTTTGACAGTTTTATAGAATGTACCTTCCCATTTTATTATGGAAGAAAAGGACATTTTCATCATACTTCTATTATAAATTCACTAAATTTTTAAAGTCCTAATCTCTGAAATCTGGTTTTAATGCTGTGTTTCATGAAGCACTGGAGGCTTCATGTAAGTCTCCAAGGTCCATCATGGAGGATGAGGCGTGGGGAGAGGTGTGGAGTTGTTGGAACTCCTAATCTCTTTTTCCCTTTGCCCAGACATGCTCCATTTTAATATCTCTTCATACTAGACTTTCAAATAAGACTCCATTTGAAGAAGGTATAATCAGCTCAAATATCATTTACATCTGATTTAAACAAACTCCAAGTAGAGCGTAATTAAATATATTTGTTTTCACAGTGTCAGCATCCCTAAATTCTTCTACATACTATTTAACATTTTTTATCACTAAAATAAAATTAGCTCAACCTGAAAGGGCTATATCCTTTATGATTTCAACTATAGGACATTCTGGACAAAGTAAAACTATGAAAACAGTAAGAAGATCAGTTGTTGCCAGGAGTTGAGGGGAGGGGAGGATTGAATGGAGGGAATACAGAGAATAGTTTTCAGCAGTGAAACTATTTTGTGTGATGCTCTAATGATAGCTGCATTTCATTATACATTTGTTAAAATCCACAGAATGGCCGGGCGTGGTGGCTCACGCCTGTAATCCCAGCACTTTGGGAGGCCGAGGCGGGTGGATCACGAGGTCAGGAGATCGAGACTATCCTGGCTAACATGGTGAAACCCCAACTCTACTAAAAATACAAAAAATTAGCCGAGTGGCGGGCGCCTGTAGTCCCAGCTACTCGGGAGGCTGAGGCAAGAGAATGGCATGAACCTGGGAGGCAGAGCTTGCAGTGAGCCAAGATCACGCCACTGCACTTCAACCTGGGCGACAGAGCGAGACTCCGTCTCAAAAAAAAAATTAAAAAATAAAAAATCCACAGAATGTACAACAGCAAGTGTAAACCCAATGTAAATGATGGACTTTGGATGATAATGTGTCAATGTAGGTTCATGAGTATAACAAATATACTACCCTGTGTTGAATGATCATGGGGGAAAGCTGTGTGTGTGTGTGTGTGTGTGTGTGTGTGTGTGTGTGTGCGCGCGCGCTTGTGTGTGTTTGTCTGCATTATATGTGTAGGGGGTAGGGGGTACTTTGCTGTGAACCTAAAACTGCTCCTTCTTTCCTTCCTTCCTTCCTTCCTTCCTTCCTTCCTTCCTTCCTTCCTTCCTTCCTTCTCTCTCTCTCTCTCTCTCTTCTCTCTTTCTCTCTTTCTGATGGAGTCTCGCTCTGTCGCCCAGGCTGCAGTGCCGTGGCATGATCTTGGCTCACTGCAACCTCTGCCTCCCAGATTCAAACAATTCTCCTGCCTCAGCCTCCTGAGTAGCTGGGACTACAGGCTCGTGCCTCTAAGCCTGGCTAAATTTTTTTGTATTTTTTGTAGAGACGGGATTTCATCGTGTTAGCCAGGATGGTCTTGATCTCCTGACCTCATGATCCGCCCGCCTAGGCCTCCCAAAGTGCTGGGATTACAGGTGTGCGCCACCACACCTTGCCACATTCTCTTTCTTTCTGACTTGAGAGGTGTGGATGACTCTCCCTCTGTCTACTCTATGTACAGCTTGGCTCTCATACTCTGCACAAGGACAGTCTAAGACTGGGCTTACATCTTTCACCTTTCTCCATGCCTCCTTCTCTGTTCCATCTTCCCGGCTTACTTTCAGTTCTCTTAACCATCACACTCATTCCCCTTTTCTCTACAGGAGGTGGAGTATCATGGCTGCAGCATCAGATTGCCTCCCGTTCACTCCTTATGAATGGTGTGGTCTTGTGCAGGTTAATTATCCTCTCTAAGCCTCGGTTTCTTTATTTACAGAGTTGGAAAAGTAATTGTACCTATTTTATAGGTTTTTGTGAAGATTACATAAGGAAATGCAGATAAAGTGCTTAGTGTGGGCTTGCATGGTGGCTGACACCTGCAATCCCAGCATTTTGGGAAGCCAAGGCAGGCGAATCACCTGAGGTCAGGAGTTCGAGACCAGCCTGACCAACATGGAGAAACCCTGTCTCTACTAAAAATACAAAAATTAGCCGGGCATTGTGGTACATGCCTGTAATCCCAGCTACTCGGGAGGCTGAGGGAAGAGAATCACTTGAGCCCAGGAGGCAGAGGTTGGGTGAGCTGCGATCGTGCCATTGCACTCCAGCCTGGGCAACAAGAGTGAAACTCTGTCTCAAAAAAAAAAAAAGAAAAGAAAAGAAAAGAAAAAAGTGCTTAGAGTGGTGCCCAGCATTTGGGAAGCCCTCAGCAAATGCCTGGAGCTGTCCAACATCATCAGACTGGCTTAGGAGACTGGCACCACATTAGGAATGTGCTGGCAGAGGGGAATGGCCATCTCTGGCAGCATTGCTGAATGCATTAAATTTCCTATGACTGCCATGACAAAATGCCACAAACTGGGTGGCTTCCAACAACAGAGATTTATTTTCTCACAGTTCTGGAGGCTAGAAGTCTGAAATCAAGGTGTTTGCAGACTACGTTTTTTTCTGAAGGCTCTAGGAGGCTACGCATGGTGGCTCATACCTGTAATCCCAGTATTTTGGGAGACCAAGGTAGAAGAATCACTTGAGCCTAGGACTTTGAGACCAGCCTGGGCAACACAGAAAATTCCTACAAAGGAAAATCTCTAGAAATTTTTTTTTTTTTTTTAATTAGCTGGGCATGGTGGTGCATGCCTATAATCCTAGCTACTTCGGAGGCTGAGGCAAGAAGATTGCTGGAGCCCTGGCAATTGAGGCTGCAGTGAGCTGTGATTATACCACTGCATTTCAGCCTGGGTGACAGACCGAGATGCCACCTCTAAAAAATTTTTAAAAATAAATTTAAACGGAGAGAAGGGCCTAGGGGAAAATCTGCTCCAGGCCTTTCTCTTAGCTTCTGGTGTTGCAGGCAACCCTGGGCATGCTTTGGAAGGTAGACACATCACTTAAATCTCTGCCTCCCTCCCAACGTGGTGTTCTCCTTGAGTCTGGGTCTTCACATGGCATTCTCCTCTCCATGTGTGTCTGTCCCTGTGTCTTTCCTCTTCTCATGAGGATAACAGTAATAATGAATTAGGGCCCACCTAATAATGACTTCATCTTAACCTGAGTACATCTGTAAAGACTCTATGTCAAAAACATGTCACGTTCACAATATATCTTTTGTGGGGACACAATTCAACTGTTAACACTGGGAAAGGGATTATTGCATGGACAGTGGTCTCATCTCCCCTCCCCTTCCCTCCCCTCCCTTCCTTCCTTCCTTTTTGCTCATTATCATTATATTGGACACTTATCAAATTCCTGACCTCATTTTCCATGTTTTGGTTTTTTAGTACTATTTATAATTCTTCAGGTGTGGTCTAGCTGATGCTTGCTGGAAACTCCTATAACCTGGACACTTGACTAAGGTGTCATTAAGAGTGTTTTTAAAAAATGTTCTTTGTATGTTGATAGTCCCTAACATTGGCATCTAATATTGAGCTTGAAATAAATGACAACAAACAAACTGATTTTTGCATCCTCTCTTTACTAACAATTCAAAACCACTTCTCATACCTCTATAGCCTATTTTTGTTGCTGTTTCTGCATAAAGACTTGAGATAATTAATAGAGATGAACATGGTCTAAACTACTCCTAGAACTGGAATGGATGGGCAGCCACAAGAAACGTTATGAGTAGTTTGAGTGGTCTTTAGACTCTGTGGACTGCATCAGTTGGCCTAGACAAAGCACTTCAGGGCACCAATGGCAAGATGGACCTAGTGTAGAATGTGACCCATCACTAGAAAAAAATCTAAGCTTTCAGTTGCATGTTACCACATGCCCTATAGATGTAAGTTCCTATCACACAGTGAGCAGTCCTGGAAAAGCCCTCAGTATTTTTATGGAAGACTATAAGGCAACCTGAGCCTTTCAAAAGGAGGGGGAGTGAAGCCTGGGCATTGCCCCTCTAGATGCCCCTGGCTTGACTCCTCAGAGGGCTGCCATGTTAGTGTCAGTGATGGATTTCTCCCAATATTGACATACTATAAGCAGGGTTGGGGCACAGTCAACACAAAACCAATTCATACATTTAGAAATGTGAGGGCTGCTCTTAACAAGAAAGATTGGCTGTTTTATATTGTGATTTTTCTTTCTCTAAATGAATTTCTTGATTTATTTTCCTTCTGTCTTCATTTTCCTTTCGATATTTGTAATTTGCATCGACATGCGTATTTAAAATGTAACAAGGATTAAATGTGATTATTGTAATGCTTTTTATACTAGAGATATACACTATGGGAAGTCTATAATGGGGATAATTTGTATATGGCTAATATGGGACTTGCCAGAATCATTCTTAACAATTTTCACTAGGGCTGTTACAGGGATTCACAAGTTCTCTTTGATTTGCAAAATGTGTGCTCTAAAATCCCACCACATGTCTCAGCGTTACTCACCATTGAATTCCTACCCCCCATATTGATATCCTGCCTTTGTGCATAGTAAGTACTCAACACATGTTTGTTGAATAGATCTGCCTCTTTCCTTGTCTAGTTGGTCCCCTGCTCCTGTTCATGAGGCTTATAAACTTCTGAAATACAAAGGCCTGATAAAACAATACCCATATTGCATAAACATGGGGATCTTCACAAGGTCAGTAATATTACTATTCTCATTTTAAAGATGAAGAAACTGAAGTGAGAAAAGTCAAGTAACTTCTCAAAGCCCTAAAGATGATAATAGCAGGGGTGGCATTCACCTATCATTGTCATTAGTCTTAGCAGACTACCTTGTGCATAACAGGAACTCAAAAATTAGGTGTTTAAAGGAATGGATGAAATGAATGACTTTGGAAAAGTCTATTTTACAATTGACTATTGCATCAAAGTCCCTAGGAAATGAGATAGCTTCTGTGCAATGTAGTAAGCTGCCCAAAACATCTCCTAAATAATAATAATAGAAAATAATAATGCTTATAACTTTCCAGGCACTGTCCTAGCTATAAAACCCCATTGTTAATGGAGAAGAGGTTATCTGGATCATGAGGAGATTAATACACCAAAGATACAGATTGAGGCCAAATTAAGTACGGTGTGGACAGCAGGCAAATGGCGTCTGCCATAAATGAGGCTGTTACAATGGGAAAGCTCAGAATGTCCATAAGATCCTCTTTAATTCATTATTATGAAAATAAAAAATAAATAACGTCTTCATTATCTAATCATTTCTCTGCCTGTTAAACAAAAAAAAAAAAGGAGGCAGGGCGTGGTGGCTCACACCTGTAATCTCAGCACTTTGGGAGGCCGAGGTGGGCAGATCACAAGGTCAGGAGATGGAGACCATCCTGGCTAACATGGTGAAACCCCATCTCTACTAAAAATACAAAAAATTAGCTGGGCGTGGTGGCGGGTGCCTGTAGTCCCAGCTACTTGGGAGGCTGAGGCAGGAGAATTGCTTGAACCCGGGAGGCAGAGCTTGCAGTGAGCTGAGATCACGCCACCGCACTCCAGCCTAGGTGACAGAGTGAGACTCCATCTCAAAAAAAAAAAAAAAAAAAAAAGACAGGAGCAGAAGCACATACGTGAAATTGCAGTGGTGTAGGGATTGTGAAGACACATTCTTAAATCTGTCTTTCAGCAGGAGGCATATGACTTAAAACTACCCACCCACCCTGTGTTTCCAAGGACTGCCAGATAGTCTGACTGTGCCTGATATATAGCAGGGACTCAGACATGAGCTGAATGATTGGATGTATAAATGAATGTTTCTGAGTTTTAAAAAATTCCTGCCAACTGCTATATAATCATCTACTTGAAGGAGACCTGATCACAGGTAGGCACAGACAACCAGTCCTTCACTGGTAGAGCTGGTTATCAGTGAACGAAGGCCCTGCACATCCTCTTCGTAGGCTGGAAGCTCTCAGCATCAGCAAGTGATGGACAGGCAGGGAAACAGGGTGTTAGCCACAAAATCACTTTCAGAGACATGCTTTTTTTTTTTTTTTTTTTTTGAGACGGAGTCTCCCTCTGTCACCCAGGTTGGAGTACAGTGGTGCCATCTCGGCTCACTGCAACCTCCACTTCCCAGGTTCAAGTGATTCTCCTGCCTCAGTCTCCTGAGTGGCTGGGATTACAGGCATGTGCCACCACGCCCAGCTAATTTTTGTATTTTTAGTAGAGACGGGTTTTACCATGTTGTTCAGGCTGGTCTCTAACCCCTGACCTGGTGATCTGCCCGCCTCGGCCTCCCAAAGTGCTGGGATTACAGGCATGAGCCACCGCGCCCGGCCAAGGCATACTTTTTAAGGTTTCTGCAAAGCTATTTTACCAGTGAACTTTCACTCTATACCAATGTGAGAGGAAAAAATAAAGCTTTACGGGGTCTTTTTGATGACATCACCACCGTAGGAAGGAAACTTAATTTTTTATTGCTGCCTAGCAAATTAACACCAATGAAGTAGCTTAAAACAACAGAAATGTGGCCGGGCACGGTGGCTCATGCCTATAATCCCAGCACTTTAGGAGGCTAAGGTGGGTGAATCACTTGAGCCCAGGAGTTCCAGACTGGCCTGAGCAACGCGGAGAAAAACACAAAAAATAGAAAATGTAGGCTGGGCGTGGTGGCTCACGCCTGTAATCCCAGCACTTTGGGAGGCCGAGGCGGGCGGATCACGAGTTCAGGAGATCGAGACCATCCTAGTGAACACTGTGAAACCCCATCTCTACTAAAAATACAAAAAATTAGCCAGGCGTGGTGGCGGCTGCCTGTAGTCCCAGCTACTTGGGAGGCTGAGGCAAGAGAATGGCATGAACCCAGGGGACGGAGCTTGCAGTGAGCAGAGATTGCGCCACTGCACTCCAGCCTGGGAGACAGAGCAAGACTCTGTCTCAAAAAAAAAAAAAAAAAGAAAGAAAAAGTAGCCAGACATGGTGGCACATGCGTATAGTCCTGGCAACTCAGGAGGCTGACGTGGGAGGATCATCTGAGCCCAGGGAGGTTGAGGCTGCAGTGAGTTGTGATCGCGCCACTGCACTCTAGCTTGGGTGACACAGTGAGACCTGTCTCAAAACAAAAACAAAACCTGACAAACATATTATCTTATGGTTCTGTAGATTAGAATTCAGACCATGGGTCTGGCTGTATTAAGATCAAGGTGTGTCAGGGCTGTGTTCCTTTCTGGAGCCTCTGTGAGAGTCAATTTCCTTGTCTCTTTCAGCCTCTATAGGATGCCTTTATGTCTTAGTTCATGGATTTCTTCCTCCACCTTCAAAGCCAGCAATATAGCATCTCTCTGAGCCTACTACTGTCATCACATTTCTTTCTGATCACAGCCAGGAAAGGGTCTTTTCTCACTTTTAAGAAGTCATGTGCTTTGACTGGGCACCCACTGATAGTCCAGGATAATCTCTCCATCTCAAAGTCTGTACCTTGAACTACATCTGCAAAGTCCCTTCTGCCACATGAAGTAGGACCTTCACAGGTTCTGGGAATTAGAATGTGAACATCTTGGGGGCCATTATTCTGCCTAATATAGTAACCTAAGGTAAAGACACACCATTCCCAGGGCTGACAGGGACAAGCAGGTAAATATCGTCACAGATGGTCATTTCCAAACATCCTGTATTTCTGTCTTTAGAATTATTCCTCCTGCATAAGGGTAGTTTTTCTGTTTGTTTTTTTCCTCCTCTAGTCCTGATGAAAAAAGGTAGTAATTGATTTCACCTTAATACCGGGCATTAAATTAGCCTAAGACAACTAGCATGCTTCCAAAAAAATTAATAAAGTCATTATACATCACATTTAGTAATGTAGGATGTGCATGTAATATACTTGTATACACGTGTCAGTGTCTATGTGAGTATGGACATACATATTAGTACACACCCATTATCTTTTTAAAAACTGACTTGGATGATTTACCTCACTATTGAATATAAAGTAACTTTCCAATTTTTGCTATGTGAACTAAAACCATCTACAAAGCCTAAAGCAGAGATGAGTGTATGTCTATGTGGGTTTATGACTCAATGCAAAAAGAAAGTTTATAAATACATACAAAAAACCGGATTCTCTAAAGTGCTACACATTTGGCTTACATTGCAAATAGATGTTGACTAGCTGCTAAGTGACAGGCATGAATGACTTATAATACACATGAGGTATGGTGCTTGACCTCCTGAAGCTTGTAATTTGAGAGAGAACTCAGATACCCAGGCATCTAATTGCAGATAAGAGAGAAAATAACTTTAAAATAAGTGTAATTTGCTTTGAGACCCTCAGGAAGCAGGCCTTTTATGCATGGACTTTTGCTAGACATGAGGGGTGTGGGCAAAGGCAGGGAGGTTTCCTTGGGAAGCAGCACTGGCGCTGGTTCTGCAGAAGTAGATGATGTTGAAAACGCAGATATGTGAAGAGTTATTTTAGGTGTAGGTAAAGGACCAGCGATGAGAAAATACAAATATCCTTACAATGGCCCCAGTGTGAGTGAGGTAAAGCAGAGAATGCAAGGTGAGGAGGGACTCCAGAACTGCAGGAGTCTGGACTTTATTCTGGAGATCACAGGGACCTACTGTAGGTGTGAACAGGAGACTAGCAGGGCCCCTTTGAAGAATTAACACTTCCGACAGAGGCTCTTAGTTGCCCCTTAATGCTCATTTTCCTCTTCTTCCTTGGTAACAGAATGCTCATTTTTAGGAAGGCATATTCATGCCCAGTTAAAGGCTACAGAACCCAGCCATCTTTGCTGCTAGTCGTGGTTAACTAAAGTTCCAGCCAATGATACGTAAATGGAAGTGGTATGTAAAGTCATTCTTGGAAGGAAAAGGCATGCTCTCTTTCCTCTCTTTTCTACCTTCTGCCTGGAATGGAAGCATAATGGCTGGAGCTCTAGAAGCCATGTTGGATCCTGAGGAGGATGTCAAATCTGAATAACACCAGAACAGAGAGCTGGAAGGAGCCTGGACTTCCTTTACATGCATGGGAACTAACTTTCATCTTGTTTAAGCACTCTTGTTTAGTTATTTTTCTGTTATATGCAGCTTAACCTAGCCCTATATCAATGGTTTTTAACCTTGGCTACACATTAGAAACCTCAGGAAATTGCAAAATCAAAGATGGCCAAAAATAATCTCCAGAGACTTTGATTTAATTAGTCTGAGGCAGGGCCTAATGATAAGTAATAGTTTAAGTTTTCCAGGTGATTCTAATGTGAAGCCAGTGATGGCCACAGTTATAGACAGAGTTGTAGGATAAGAGAGTTTTAAGGCTGGAAGTTATTTTGGAAGATTGTTGCAATACCATTGCTTAGATTTAGAACTAGGAGAAAGGCCATGGTCACAGATGGTCAGGTGTCTGTGAAAGGCCCAGGGGAGACAGAATCCATGTATGGAAAATGGTGAACAACTGATAATACATAAGGCAATGGGGTTTTACACGTGGGAAACTACAAGTGAGCGAGCATCATTAATATCAAGAGGGGGTAATGGGAGGAGATGGCTGGCCTGGTAGGGAGGGTGTGAGGGTGAACTTTCAGTGGGACACAGAATAAATAAACAGATAGGTCCACAATTATAACGTGTTTTACAATTGCTGCGTCTGCACTTTTCTTTAGATCCCATGACATCTCTTTTAATTTGATCTTTTTTTTTCCATGATTGATTTTTTGGGCAGAATGCATTTTTTTTTTTTTCAGAAAACATAACAGCTCTCCCTCTTTTTCAAGCAAGTGGAGAGAAATACTAATGGGAAATACACTGTATTTTTTTTTTTTTTTTTCAGAAAAAAAGCTCTTTTGAATCTTAGTTCTGCTTTTCTCAAAATGACTAAATAATCTATTTTGTTTAAGTCCATTTAACATTTTGTTGGTAGGCTATATCTATTTCTAGTACCCACAGCACACTCTGAACATTTGACAGGATCACACCTGATTAATCGCTCTCTTTGCTGTCATCAATATTATTTGGGGGCAGTGGCCAAACCGTATTGACACTCTGCTGACATCTTCTCCGGTGCCCAATTACCCTTCTGTCATGATACAATCCATGAGGTGACAGGAGGATTCTATGCTGTGCCAAGTGGGTTGGCACCAAAATGTCCCTGAGACAGTATATAATACATCATTTTTATGCTTCTTTGGGGAACTGGGAGAGACAGGACATTTCCCCTTCCCCATTGCCAATAACAGGTGTTTCACTCACAGGGCTGCAGAAACACAGTGGCTTTCCAGGTAGCTTTGCAATTTGAGCTATCTGGAACCTGCCTGGATGAGCCTCCTGAAGTTTTTTAGTTCATCCCCAAGGTAAATTCCTAACGAAAGAGGGCAGAAGCCCTTGCCTGAGGCTCTTAACCCTGACCCACATATTAAAAAGTAGTTAAGCTCCTAAAAGAGTTGAGCTGTTAGACGCTCTAGGAATCTCCTGTTAAGAGGCAACTTCAGCATAGCTCAAATCTGCCAAGTAAACCACAGTGGAGTCAGTATAAGGAGTAACGTACACGGGATGGTGTAACCCTTTTGAAAACTGCTCTGGCCATGCTCTAATACTGAAACACATGCTTTGGGGCTAAATAGGACTAAAATTAAGAGTTTCCTTTTTTTTCTTCTTCTTCACCCCCGCCCGCCACCCAGATCACTGGTAAAGCAATATCTTTTTTTTTTTTTTTTAAACAAAGCTTAACTGAATGAAAATGAACAAAGCTTAACTTAATGAAAATGGCCTTCATGAGATCAGGAGGGCATCTCCGTTTATGTATCTAGAAAGAAAATATATTGATAGCTGTCCATTTTAACATTTTATTTTATACACACACACACAGACAAGCACATGCACACACATTTATTTGAATATCAACAATCTTTCTGGTCAGTTTAGCAACTGGTGTCATAACTGATACCAGTACTCCTCATAATATCATATTCCTATAATATGCACGAATAAGACCACTGAGTATTGGGATGTCAAGTGATTGTTCCCCAGAAGGATTCCAAAAGATTTAAGAGCACAAACATGAGTTCCACAGAACTCAGATCAATGAAAAAACTATTTTGTTTTGCATGTGGTTACAGGGCTAATGGTATGAATATTCTCAGTTTCACGGCGCCCGCTGAGCGGAGGAATCCTCCAGCTTGCTGAGAAATTCCTTCCAATATTGGGGCCAGGAGAGCCAGTAAGATGCTTTGTTTGGTTTTGTTGTTGATGATGTGAAAATTAGTCTTTGATCTGATTTTTCTTAAAATAAGAATTTAGTATTGTTTTATTATGTACTGGGATGCTGGCTAGGATTCTTATTTTTTATTTTAATTTCTAAACTATTTTTAAATACTTAAATTGATCAGGTTAAATGTGTTCATGGCAAAAAATTCAAAGAGCTTATAAGATGTACAATGGGACAAGCCAGGTCCTCCATAAAGTCCTACATCCTTAATCTATTGCGTTGTAATTGTTTCTTTTGTAGATTTTCTAGAAATTATGTATGCATGTATAAAGGTTATGGATTATACACATTAGAGAAATGCCAGGCTGGGCACAGTGGCTCACAACTGTAATCCCAGTATTTTGGGAGGCCAAGGCAGGCAGATTGCTTGAGCCCAGGAATTCGAGACCAGCCTGGGCAAAATGGCAAGACCCCCATCTCTACAAAAAATACAAAAAATTAGCTAGATGTGGTGGTTTGTGCCTATAGTCCCAGCTGAAGTGGGAGGATCACCTGAGCCTGGGGAGGTCGAGGTTGCAGTGAGCCAAGATCATGTCACTGTATTTCAGCTGGGGCAACACAGTGAGACCCTTCTCAAAAATAATTTTTTTTCTTTCTTTTTTTTTTTTTTTGGTTAGATGGAGTTTCGCTCTTGTCACCCAAGCTGGAATGCAGTGATGCGATCTTGGCTCACTGCAACCTCTGCCTCCTGGGTTCAAGTGATTCTCCTGTCTCAGCCTCCCGAGTGGCTGGGATTACAGGTATGTGCCACTATGCCTGACTAATTTTGTATTTTTAGTAGACATAGGGTTTCACCATGTTGGCCAGGCTAGTCTCAAACCCCTGACCTCAGGTGATCTGCCCACCTTGGCCTCCCAAAATGCTGGGATCACAGGCGTGAGCCACCACGACCAGCCTAAATAATTTTTTTTTTAAAAAAGAAACACCAGACTCGTATTATACCTGCTATTTGTCAACTTGCTTTTTTCACTTTCATCTTGGCCATCTTTCTGTGCAAGTGTTTATGTATCTACTTCATTCCTTGGCCAGCCTTATAACATCATTTTCTGAAACTCTATTCATGGACATTTCTGCTGTCTACAGGTTATTTTTTTTTTTTGACTGCTACAAAAAATGGTATATGCCACCTTAGAACATATATTTTTTTTAAGATGGTACATGCCATATGGTGAAGGATTCAGTCAAAGAATGTAGTGTTCAAGTTTTGATGGCAATTCCCAAATAGCCCTCAAAAAAGTAACCTCAGTCATACATTCCTACCCAGTTGTACTAAAGGTTATGTTTCCAGTCCCATTGCCACTGACAGGACAAAGAATGATGCTCAGCTTGCTTGGGTCCCCTGATTCTCACATCATCTCTGGAGACACGCTCTTTTCATCTCCACTGTAGATAAGAGAAAACTGAGGCACAGGCAGGTCTTACTAACTGGCTGAGTGTTGGAGGAGGAACATAAACGTAGATGGTCTGACTCTATAGCCAGGCTCCTAGCTGCCATCGTGCAGTACCTTCTGTCTCGTATTAAGGTTTCTGTTTTCCAGACTGATGTTAGAAACCTTTTTTAAAACCTATGAAACAGAAATTCTTTTTAAATATCCATTGTCCATGTTTCTTTATCTTTCCTTCATTGAACTGCCTGTTGTTGGGCCCTAAAAATCTGAAGCTGTAAAAACCATTTGTGTTTGTTTGTCTAAGGTGGGAGCAGGTGGAATGGAAGCAGTGGTTATAAAGTGATTTCCAGTGTTGTCACTGAGGGTAAAATCTCTATTTCCTGAGAGATCACTTTTGTGGCTTTTCATCTGTGGACATGCCTGGCAAGTACTTCCATATTGCTCCTGAATTTGGGGGCAGGAATTAAAATGGAATATTCCTTGCGAAGTGATTTTTCTGTTGAATACTGTAAATTTAGCAGGACCTTGTGCCAGCAGTATGAGAGATGCTCCTTCCTCCCCCAATAAATCTGGATTTAAACTGGCTTATCCCTGGAAGCTCCTTTTTATCCTTTGGACATGTGTTACATTTTTGTCTTGGCTTTTTCTCCCATGAAATCATAGAAGGAGGAGCTTGCTGACTTTACCTTCTCTTCTCTTTATGAGGAGACATCATGAAATAAAACTTGACTGATATTGTCACTGCACACATTGCATTAGACTGTTGTCCTACAGGAGGCGTCCCTGAAGACTGGAATCTTAGCTTGGAGAAATGCACTCAACAAACCCAGGTCCCAGAACAGACCACAGCGATGCTCCCGTTCAGGCCAGGTGATTGACGCACACCTTTGTGGCTTAAGCTGGGAATTTCCTCCTTAAGGGATTTAATTATTGCACTATCAATCAGCCTGAGAAGCAAATGTTCCTCCTGTAGGAACTGAGGTAGGGCTTGGGATGAAGAAGAACTTCTTCTTCCTCTGGGGCTTGGAGGAGGTTTGGCTTGGATCCAAATGCCTGAGGAGCCTCATTAATGAAAGCAGGGTTGAGACCCATAGGAGGCTTCGCTGGGAGCTTGGCAGGGTCTCAGGGGCTGGGCTCCTGCCTGGATTTGAAGAGTGGCTATTTCAGGAAGCAGTTGCAAGTTTCTCTCAGTGTAAAATTTCTGTTAGCTCCAATCCTTGTCAAGTCTTGCTGAAAGCCATAGCTTCGTTTCCACTGCACTGAGGTTGAGTAGGGGGCCCTCTCCATCTCTCCATAAGGGCATCAGTGACTGTCACAGGCTGAGACAGCTGCAGCTGGCAGAGTAAGGATCTCAGGAGGGCAGTGTCAGCAGCAGGGTGGCAGCAAGGCATGCAGGCAAGGAGGTCAGAACAGAGGGGCCCAATGAGTTGTTTTTGAATACTGAAGAGGCTGCTCCTGGGGAACCCATGAGCTAACCCTTATCTGTGTGTGCTTGGGTGTAATTGGAATCAATATTTCTTGAGCATTTACTAGTGAAATATGGATGTGCCTTCTCCCTTATGAGTATCCTCTCATTTAAACTCCCTTTCTACCATGTGAGGTAGCTGTGAGTGCCATTTAAATGCTGTGGTTAAGGAAACAGTCATTGACAGCTTTTATAACTTGCTGAAGGTCACTGAACTAGCAAGCAATAGGACTAGGATTTGAAATCAGGTCACATTCAGAAAATAATTTGAATGTATTTGTCATAATGAATACTTTTAATATAAAATTAAAATAAGAGATTTTTAGAAACCAAATCAGGAGCACTACAGAGGTGAGTAAAAGTAGACGTTAAAAAGAAATTGTACCACCGTGCTCGTAGCAGCGTTATTCACAGTCACTAAAATGTGGAAATAAAAGTGTCCCTTGGCAAATGAATGAAGAAGCAAAATGTATTCTACCCACACAATGGAATATTATTCCATCTTAAAAAGGGGGAAAATCCTGATACATGCTACAAAATAGGCAAAACTTAAGGACATTATACTAAGTGAAATATGCCAACTGCAAAAAGACAAATACTATATGATTCACTCACATGAGGTTCTTAGAGCAGTCAAAATCACAGAGACAGAAAATAGAACGATGGTGGTGTGAAATCAAATAATTCAAACTTAAAATGGTTGGAACTTTACATTATTTTGAGCCTTGAGAGAAATGTGGTTATGTGGCCTGAGTTATGCCACGTGCAGCTGCAACTTCTGCTTCTCTGATTATAGATTAAATCTCTTCCTCATTTCTGTCCTGTAAATGATTAGAAAAGACCAAATGGTTCCAGAAATAAGACCCCTCGAGACCATTACCCCTCCTTATGGAATGTTAAAGCAATCTTCCTTGGAACATAGCAAACTGTAACCAATCAAATGACCGTAACATCTGTGCTGGCCTTATATGGCAAATGTTGCAACCCTGTTAACCTTCTCTATTTCTGCCTATGTAAGTGAAACCTTAACTTTCCCACTTTGGAAAGCTGACCCCATTCACTTGGAGTTGGTGTTTCCCTGGTGGCTATCCTCAGGCTTTGAGCTGGAATAAACTCTATATTTAATCACATTTTCTGAACTCATTATTTAAGGTTAACTGGCCAGGGGCTAGGAGGAGAGGGAAATGGGGAATTACTGTTCAATGGGTATAGCGTTTCAGTTTTGCTAGATAAAAACGGCTCTGGAGATGGATGATGGTGATGATTGCACAACAAAATGAATGCATTTAATACCATTGAATTGTAAAAGTAAAAATGGTTAAGATAGTTCATTTTATGTGTATTTACCATAATAAAAATTGGAAAAAAAATGAAATTGTGCTGTATATAGTACACAGGTGAAAAATTTATACAGAACTTACATCTTTGATATGGTTTGGCTGTGTTCCCACCCAAATCTCACCCAGAGGTGTAATAATCCCCACATGTTAAGGGCGGGACCAGGTGGAGATAATTGAATCATGGGGGTGGTATCCCCCATACTGTTCTCCTGGTAGGGACTAAGTCTCATGAGATCTGATGGTTTTATAAATGGGAGTTCTCCTGCACAAGTTCTCTTGCCTGCAGCCATGTAAGACGTGGCTTTACTTTTCCCTCTGCCTTCTGCCATGATTGTGAGGCCTCCCCATCCATGTGGAACTGTGAGTCCAATAAGCTTCTTTCCTTTATAAATTACCCAGTCTCGGGTGTCTCTTCACTAGCAGCATGAGAACAGGCTAATACAGTCTTGGTGTGTAATTCCTAAGGATGAGTCTAAAGTTGCTTGCCCCGAGTTTGAATCTCTGCTCTACTGCTTTTTAACTATATGACCTTGTGGGAGAAATTAATCTCTCTGGAGCATTTCTAAAATAAAGACAAAATATGTAGTACCTTTGGCATAGAGTCAATGAGATGTTTAAATGACACAGTATATGAAACATACATGAACAGTGGCTGACATGTAACTACTATTATTTAAACAACATGACGAATGAGAATGCATATATAAATATTTCACTTTGAGTAAGAGGCAGTCTAAAACTTCATGAAAAAAGTCACTAAGATTCAATCAAATTTCTTATAAACAAGGACAAAAAATTATAACGATTATTTTTAAAAATATTCAGAATTAGGTGTTGGATAGTAAGCTGACCCAACCAAATAAATATGTTTCTGGCTTTGAAATATCGAAGATATTTTTTAGTTAACTCCCCTCAGCTGCTATAAAAGTTGGTCATGGATTATTTTTGGCCCAGGAAGAAAAAGGCTGTTAGACAAGCCAATTCCATTTAGGGTCAGCGAAAGAGAGCACAACGGCTAGTATTTGGCCTTTCTAATGTTGAGGTGGGAACTGCTGACTAATTGTAACACAAAGACTGTGCTAACGGCTTTTCACTTCACTTATTTTCCACCATGTATGTGCCCATCTTGGCCAGGACATAACTATCCAGAAATTCTACAATAAGAGAAGGGTACTCACGCAATGAATGGCAATTCTTTCCCTGATAATTTCATTTTCGAATTGCTAATTTCAGATATGGTGATTTAGCTCATTGAGTCAGGCTGCAAGAGACCAGGAATTACCCAGCAGTGGCCACTTAGCTGAGACCAAGACTCGTGTAATTAGAATTCTGGCACTGTAGGTGGGAATATTTACTATTGCTGTGAATAGTAAATCATAAATGTTAAATTACATTCAATCTCAGAAATAACTGCGCAAAACTTCTCCCAGCATAGATAATCAGGCAATTATTGAAATGGTGATCGTACTCACAGGCCATTGCAGCTTCGTTGTGAGACCCAATCATGCTCTGAGCTGCAATCTCATTTATCCTGGCTCCATTTTTATGCATTTTACACCAGTAAATAAGAATAAGTATTCAATCTAAGTTTTAGAGTTCTTAGAAAAAGAACATATAATGTGGTCTGTGGTTTAAGCTTTAAATTTAAAGCTTACATATAAGCTAGTTAAAAATTACATTCTGAAATCATTAAAAAGATAGATAAAAACAATATTAAAAAAACTTCCTTGATCCTGATATTGTGGAAGAACACTGGCCTGGGTGTTTGGAGATGTGTGTCTTTGGTCTTCTTTCTACTCCTCATTTCTACTGTAATTTTTTGAAAGTAATTTACATTTTTCAGGGCCCCAATTTATGCATCTGTAATTTAAGACATTTTAAAATAATTTTTAGCTAAGGTTCCATTCAACATTCAAATAATAATAAAAATAATATATCACACTGTAATTTTAAACTTTCATTTATGACAGCAATTTACCAAGATCCTTACATGACTTGGGAAGTACTATACTATCTATTTCTATTTTGCTGATAAGAAAACAAAGATGTGAAATATCCTGACTTAGATCACACAGAAAGGAAGTGGCACGGGTACTTTGTCCTCATTTTGGTCTTAGTTCATCTTAATCCAATGATGCTTTGTGATTCAGATTATTGAAAATAGCTTTCTTAACTGGACAAAGCATCTAAAAGCATGAGATTTAATAGAACCTTTATTTTTACCCTGACATTACAACAAACGTGGTTTAACATATGTGAGTTTCATTTGGATGTATGTGCTACATTTTTATTTCCCATAATCTCCCAGCCCTTCTCTGTGTTTGGAGAAACAAAAAAACTGAACAGCAATGATCGTGACAGTGCACTCCAGGTTGCCTGGACAGTGTTCCTCACTTCTCCTAGTTAGAGAGACTACACCCAAAGTCAGCTTCAAGAAGGGGCTCTGGCTTCCTCCCTGTTCCTGGAGGGGCTCTGACTCCCAGACAACACTTGTAAACAGCAGGCACCTATGCCCAGACTGCCTGGTGCCCCATGCATCTGATTTTCCCCTACTGACAAAGTTGCTGTCATTTTTGCTTTGTGAGAAGTGAGAGAAGCAGGGGCTTCCTGGTAACGAATGCCCTTGGTGCATTCAGCGGAATAGCCTGGCTTTCGCACGTCTCCCTGAGGGATGATGGGATTGGAGACCTGTACTTGCTCTTCTGATGATGATCCCTGATTTATAACTTTCTCTAGTAAAGCCTGTTTCATAACATCTGCATGTGGCGTTGTGGAATTAGACTTGAGGCCTACGACACAGCAGGTCAAGAGCATGAAGGGGCCTACTTGCCACGCTCTGTTTTCATTTATTTTCATTTAAGAGTCAATTGGAATCATTAAGAATTGTGATAAGGGCCAGTTGTGGTGGCTCATGCCTGTAATCCTAACACTTTGGGAGGCTGAGGTGGATGGATCACTTGAGGTCAGGAGTTCAAGGCCAGCCTGGTGAAACCCCATCTCTACTAAAAATACAAAAAAAAAAAAATTAGCTAGGCATGGTGATGCGTGCCTGTAATCCCAGCTACTTGGGAGGCTGAGCCATGAGACTGGGGGCAGAGGTTGCGGTGAGCCTAGATCACACTACTGTACCTCAGCCTGGTTGACAGAGTGACTCTGTGTCAAAATAAATAAATAAAGAAAATAAATTTTAAAATAATGCAATAGAATTGCAAATAACTATCCCATATAGTATAATTTATAGAAGGCTTTTATATTCTATATTCTTAATGATCACAAAAATTTGCCAAGATTTATTTTTATTATACAGATAATAAATTAAATTTCAGAGAGGTTAAAAGCCTCCCCCAAAAGTGGCAAATCTGGGCCTGGATGTAAGGTCTACCCGCATCAAGCTCAACTTTCTCTTCACTGCCCCTGAGAGCTTTAGAAAGTGTCTCTAGAAGCAACCCCATCCACTCCCAAATATCTAAAGCATCCACATAGGAAGGAGGGCCTTTGCTAGGTGCTGGTGAATTCAAAGACCAAGAAGATTTCTCCAAGAGCATTCTTTCTTGTGCTAAAAAGGGAAGACCATTTTAAGAGCTATTTATTATAAAAAACATTCATGGCTGGGCGCGATGGCTCAAGCCTGTAATCCCAGCACTTTGGGAGGCCGAGGTGGGCAGATCACGAGGTCAGGAGATCGAGACTATCCTGGCTAACATGGTGAAACCCCGTCTCTACTAAAAATACAAAAAATAAGCCAGGCGTGGTGGTGGGCGCCTGTAGTCCCAGCTACTCGGGAGGCTGAGGCAGGAAAATGGTGTGAACCCGGGAGGCAGAGCTTGCAGTGAGCTGAGATCATGCCACTGCACTCCAGCCTGGGTGACAGAGCAAGACTCCGTCTCTTAAAAAAAAAAATATTCATTATACTTTTCAGTTTGCTCAAGCTATAGTGCCTTTATTATGAAATATTAGACAAACTTTACGGAAGCAAAGGAGTGGGATGTCTTAGCTGCTGCTAAGCCAGAAGAGAACAAGACACCAGCAGTGACCAAGTCCCTGAGTAACTGTGAAATGTTAGAACTCAATTGAAGCTTGCCAGAGGAGGAGGTCTGGGAATAAGGGTGGAATGGAATGTCTTCTAATCTGTGATCTGAATTCAGACATGTTCTTTGAAATGGCTTCAGAGGCTAATATATATCTTTAAAAATCAATCTTGTGACTGGGCGCCGTGGCTCACGCCTATAATCCCAGCACTTTGGGAGGCCGAGGCAGGTAGATCACTTGATGTCAGGAGTTCAAGACCAGCCTGGCCAACATGGTGAAATCACAACTCTACTAAAAATACAAAAATTAGCTGGGCATGGTGGTGGGCACCTGTAGTCCCAGCTACTTGGGAGGCTGAAGCAGGAGAATCACTGAGATTGCGCCACTGCACTCCAGCCCAGGCAACAGAGCAAGACCTTGTCTCAAAAAAAAAAATAAAAAATAAAAAAAATAAAGATCTATCTTGGCCAGGCATGGTGGCTCATGGTTGTAATCCTAGCACTGTGGGAGGCTGAGGGTGGATCACTTGAGGTCAGGAGTTCAAGACCAGTCTGGTCAACATGGTGAAACCCCGTCTGTACTAAAAATACAAAAATTAGCTGGGCATGGTGGCAGGTGCCAGCAGAGGCAGGAGAATTGCTTGAACCGGGGAGGCAGAGGTTTCAGTGGGCCGAGGTTTTGCCACTGTACTCCATCCTGGGTGACAGAGTGAGACCCCATCTCAAAAAAAAAATCTATGTTTTCAACCTGTAATTCTACTAATGGTAGCCCTCAGGGTTTAGACACAGATGTCATGCTAGGGCCTTAATGTTTTCAAAACTGTCAACTGCACAGACAGTTCCCCAGCCTGGCCCAGCTCCGTCATGCTTCTTCTCCAAGACCACCATGCAAGGGCGAGTGTCCCAGGGCCCTTGCTTTTCCTTGTCTTTCAAGTTTATGCCTCTTCCTCCAAGACGTTATGGATTCCTTCCTTCACTCCTCCAGTTAGATTGAAAATTTCTTCCATCAGTTTTTTTTTGTTTGTTTGTTTGTTTGTTTTTTGAGATGGAGTTTCACTCTTGTTACCCAGGCTGGAGTGCAGTGGCACGATCTGGGATCTTGGCTCACTGCAAGCTCCGCCTCCTGGGTTCAAGCGATTCTCCTGCCTCAGCCTCCCGAGTATCTGCAATTACAGGCACCCACCACCATGCCCGGCTAATTTTTTCTATGTTTAGTAGAGACGGGGTTTTGCCTTGTTGGGCAGGCTGGTCTCGAACTCCTGACCTCAGGTGATCTGCTGGCCTCGGCCTCCCAAAGTGCTGGGATTATAGGCGTGAGCCACTACGCCCCGCCACTTTCATTAGTTTTTGTTGTATCTTGCACACACCTTCCTCACAACACTGACTGTATTATGTTATCTATTTGTGTGTGCACATGTGTGTTTCCTTCAACTAGTTTTGGAGCTCCTGAGGACAAATACCATGTTCCATTCATCACTGTATCCCTAGAACTTAGCATGATGTCTGATAAAAATGAAGTTCACTTAGGTGCAGGTACTAGATCTTACTCTTTCTGAATCCCTCTTCTCTCCTCTGTGGTGGGACAAGGTGATGGTGGCAGGGCACTCTGGGCTGCCTGGACAATGAACCAGCTGGGGCTCTGTTCCCACTTCTCCTAGTTGGGGAGGCTGAACCCAATGTCAGCTTCCTGAAGAGGTAGGGAATTAATGTTGGATAGACAAATGGATGGGAGAAGGTCTGCCTGGCTTAAGAACACACAACTAGTAATAAAAGGCATCAAGAACAAGAATGTGAGTCAGGACAGGGATTCTTGTTCTTTGCATTTGGTATTTTATCCCCAGTGCCTAGAAGAGTTGCTGACTCATAAGTATTTGATCAATATTTGTTGAATGAATGACTGATTGGATGATTCACTGAATGAATGATTGAACGAATGAATAAAAGGTTAATTTCAAAGACCATGCCCTTTTAACTCCATTCCCAACTTCCAATCTTTGTATACAGTGTGTGTGTGTGTGTGTGTGTGTGTGTGTAGATACATCTTTCAAAGAAATAAAATTAAAAATTATCATGATCTCTTCTTTACAATAATCCATAATTAAAGATTAATGATAGCTATTTACAAGTATTTTACACACATATACACACACATTCTAAGCCATTGAAATAGATAGGCTTTGTAATTTGTTATATTTACTAGAAGAAATATAACTTTCAGAAAGTAAGCAGACATCCTACCTGAAATTCATATAAAGTTACGTTCTCAGAATTTGTTTTTGGTTAACTGGTGGAATGAATTTGTCTTGTAAACTGTCCCTGTAAATAGCATACTACATAGGTGAACTGAAGAAAACCATGGCTGGGCATATGGGGAAATTCATGACCATGACTGGCTATGTGCACAGCTGCCCAGAAGCAGAAATGGAGCCTCTCAACACTTCTAAAAATGTAGAAAGCCGGCACTGGATATGTGCTTCTGCAAAGAATCACACTTAGGTTTATAGTCTTCCACCTAAACTTCTGGGGCCTTTTTCACAAAGAATGGCAGCTGATCTTATCTTTATCTGTTACTGACACAGACCCAGCTATTCACTGCGGGGCAGAACAAAAGCCAGCAAAGGGATCGAAGAAACCCAAAATAGATCTTTCTTGAACTGATTTGTATCAGAGTTATAAACAATTCCAGGTATGAAAGAAAAGTAGACAGGCAAGCACTTACAGAAGACAAGAGCAAAGAATGATTTTTTCTGTTTCTTTGTTTTTTCCCTTCTCTCTCTCTCTCTCCTATTTTTCCAATCCAGATCCCCAACGCAAACATTGCAGGAGGTGGTTGTGCTCCCCGCAGGAGGCTGTTGACTGCCTGCACTCATGCACACTGGCTTCCCGCCCCCAGCCATCCCTCTATTGTTACACAGCACATTTTATAATGCAAATCACTGTCTACAACATGGCTCATTATTTTCCTCTCTGAATAAAATATGAACACATCAATTATGTCTCAGTTTCTAAATGCATACCCTTGTCGCACTGACCTCTTTCTGCTTTTATATTTTTCAGTATGTTCCTGACATTTGTCAGTTGGGTTAGTTCCAGACCTTTCTACCCTATTATCGTATTATTATAGCACTTTTCAAACTTTCTTCTATCACATGAGTTTGACACAAAGGCACACTGGGAGGGTGAGCCTGGCTGTGCTGCCCGCAGGCACTCACCATTGCTTGTAGTCCGCGTCGCAGTTACAGTAGTACTTGGGATCTGTGCAGTTGCGTTCGATGCCGCAGGCACATTTCTGGATTCCAGGCCCAGAGCCTCCCCAGTAGTAGTGCTTCTCGTTGGCTTTGCCAACCCACCAAGTGTAAGGGCTTCCATCTACAAGAAAAGGCAAAGGTATATTTAGAAACAGACCTGGGTTCAGTCATTAGACTGCCACACTTACACCCACTTCCCCAGGAATACTCTGATAGTCTGAACATCACTCAACCCTCTTAAAAGTCAATTTATTTCAAACAGACAACCCACAGAGTGGGAGAAAATCTTCACAGTCTATCTATCTGACAAAGGACTAATATCCAGAATCTACAACAAACTCAAATGAATTAACAAGAAAAAACAATCCCATCAAAAAGTGGGCTAAGGCTATGAATAGAAAATCCTCAAAATAAGATATACAAAAGGCCAACAAACATATGAAAAAATGCTCAGCATCCCTAATGATCAGGGAAATGCAAATCAAAACCAAAATGCAATACTACCTTATTCCCACAAGAATGCCCATAATCAAAAAATCAAAAAATAATATATGTTGGTGTGAATGTGGTGAAAGGGGAACACTTCTACACTGCTGGTGGGAATGCGAACTAGTACAACCACTATGGAAAACAGCGTGGAGATTCCTTAAAGAACTAAAAGTAGAACTACCACTTGATCCAGCAGTCCCACAAATGGATATCTACCCAGAGGAAAAGAAGTCATTATACGAAAAAGATACTTGCACACATGTGTTTATAGCAGCACAATTCACCATTGCAAAAATGTGGAAGCAACCTAAATGCCCATCAGTCAATGAATGGATAAATAAACTGTTTCTCATACACACACACACACACACACACACACACATACACACACACACACACACACACACACACACACACAAACATATATGATGGAATACTACTCAGCCATAAAAAGAAATGAATTAATGGCATTTGCAGCAACCTGGATGGGACTGAAGACTATTATTCTAAGTGAAGTAACTCAGGAATGGAAAACCAAATATTGTATATTCTCACTCATAAGTGGGAGCTAAGCTATGAGGATGCAAAGGCAGAAGAATGATACAAGGACTTTGGGGACTCAGGGTGAAAGGGTGGGAAGGGGGTGAGGGATAAAAGATGACAAATTGGATTCAGTGTATACTTCTTGGGTGATGGGTGCACCAAAATCTCATAAATCACCACTAAAGAACTTACTCATGCAACCAAATACTACCTGTTACCCAAAAACCTACAGAAATAAATTTGTTTTTTTTAAAAAAGCTTTTAATTCTATACTTCAAAAGGCTCTTTTAAGCTTAGACGAGTTTTCAAAAGTATATATCACAATTTTACATGTATATAAATATAAACATAAGCATAAAGGTAAATTTATGTCAATAGTAGAAATATTTGATAAAAAATATCAGTGGGAGTGTTAAGCTTAAGATTTCTCATGGGAATATGTACCTCTCTCCTTGGAAGACAATTTTACATTCAAACTTCTGTGATTTAGGAGTCTATTTAGTAAACTGGAAGCCAAGTTGCGGTCAGTCCGCAATGAAGGTGTATGGGCCATGAACTGATTCTACACCATACAATTCTCGTGACTGGTCATGCTTTTTTGTGAACTAAGTCATGGAGATCATAGAATATTGGAGCTAAGCACAAACTTTCACTGTTTTTGAGTATGACCTCCTAATTTTATGGGTAAAGAAATTTAGGTCTAGAAGAGTTAAGTAGTTCTTTTAACCACACAGCAGATTAGCCCCCAACTCTCCTTTATCATTTGGCCTAATAGTCACTCATTCATTCATTCATCCAATCATCAAACATCCACTGGGTTCCCACAATGTGCCAAACATTAGAAGCAACTCAACAGAATGGAAGAAAAAGATACAGATTGGAGAACAGTTTTATCAGTATTATGAACACAGAGGAGAGTGGGGGAGGCAAATGAGGTCATAAAGGAAGGTCTCCCAGAGGAGGCAAAATAGTTGAGCTGCATCTTGAAGGTCAAGTATGCATTACACAGATCAATAAGGACATAAGAGAGGTAAGACCTCCTAGGCAAATGGAGCAGAATGTAAAAAGACAGAAAGGTAAACTTCTATTTGGAAAATATGTATAGGACTATATTCATATGTAGTAGAATTGGGCTGAAGAGATGTGCTGAGAGGAGCAGTAGTAGATAGTAAGAGATAGATGGACAGCAGATGAAGGTCACATTGCAAAATACCTTTGTCCAAGTAAGAAGTTATTTTTCATTGGTTTATCCTTTCTTTTCAATGTTTATCTTCCCCCAATTTAAGACGTTTGAACTTTATCCTGAAAATAATGGGAAACTAGTAAAGGATTTTAAGCAGGGAACTAGCATGATTAAATTTGTGTTTCAAAAGATCAACAGGAAGATGAAAGATAGATTTCTGCAAAATGGATTCAGGGAGGCTAGATGTGATGCTCTTATGTTAATAGAGAAAAGAAGTAATAAAATAGTAGTAGAAATGGAGGAGAAGAGAAAACACACACAAAAAAGGTTCAGGAGTTATAGCTGGCTGGGACTGTTGGGATTTAGGTAGAAGAGAAGATGGGCAGGGAGTGCTGTGGATTAATCCAGGCTTCTGGTTTGTATGAATGGGGATGGTACTATGCTCCATGAAGGTAGGGCACAGGGAAGGAAGATCATCATCAAAAGTCTAGGGAATGTTGAAGAAAAGATAATGGGTTTGCTCACAAAATGTACAAATTGATTGTAGAAGTCTGGTTCTCAGGAGGATTTTCTGAGCTGAAAATATGTTTTAGGAACTATCAGGGCAAACCAGAACATATTGGAAGTGGGAGAAATGCTGCTGGAATCTTTTAGATTACAACATCATTTCAAAAACGGAATGATTTCATAGCTGGCCACAGTGGCAGGCGCCTCTAGTCCCAGTTACTTGGGAGGCTGAGGCAGGAGAATTGCTTGAATGTGGGAGGTGCAAGTTGCAGTGAGCAGAGATTGCACCACTGTACCCTAGCTTGGGAGACAGAGCGAGACTCTGTCTCAAAAACAAAACAAAACAAAACAAACAAAAAACCCACCAAAACCCAAGAATGATTTCACACTACTATAAAGAATGATCCAAGACTGGGTCTTTAACCATTTATAAAGAAAAGAGGTTTGACTGACTCACAATTTTGTGTGGCTGAGGAGGCCTCAGAAAACTTACAATCATGGCAGACGAAGAAGGGTAAGCAAGGCACGTCTTCTCATGGGGGCAGGAGAGAGAGAAAGCAAGAAGGGGGAAGTGCCAGGCAATTATCAAACAACCAGATCTTGTGAGAACTTCCTCACTATCATGAGAACAGCATGGGGGAATAGCCCTCATGATCCAGTCACCTCCCACCAAGTCCCCCCCTTGACACATGGGGTTACAATTCAGATTACAATTCAATATGAGATTTGGGTGGGGACACAGCCAAACCGTACCAGAGATGGAGATGACCATAGCAGAGTGCAAGAACGAAGGCAGCCAGGGTGATGGGAGAAAAACACAGGAGGATTTCCCAGAGAGCAGAGGGGCCAGCACCATCAGATTTCATAGTGAAGTCTATTAAGATGGGGAACTAAGAGTTTTCTTTTAATTTGACAGCTGGAAGGTCACTAGAGATTTTGATGAAAGGAGTTTCAGGTGAATGGCGGGAAGAAAAGCCTAGACGTGGTAGGCAGTGGAAAGAATGGAAGCAGAGAGCAGGAAGACCCTGACAATGGATGACTCTTTCTTTCTTTCTTTCTTTTTTTTTTTTTGAGATGGAGTCTGGCTCTGTCGTGCAGGCTGGAGTGCAGTAGTGCAGTGGCACGATCTCGGCTCACTGTAACCGCTGCCTCCCAGGTTCAAAGGATTCTCCTGCTTCAGCCTCCCAAGTAGCTGGGATTACAGGCATGCACCACCACACCCAGCTAATTTTTGTATTTTTAGTGGAGATAGGGTTTTACCATGTTGGCCAGGCTGGTCTCGAACTCCTGACCTCAGGTGATCCACCCGCCTTGGCCTCTCAAAGTGCGAAGATTACAGGTGGGAGCCAACCCGTCTGACTGGATGACTCTTTCTTATTCTTAATATGACTTTAGCATATGAGAATGCACTTAATGTTAAATCCACTCTCTTGACAACTTTTAAAGTGTCCAATGTAGCATTAATGATATGGTGTTGTATGGCTGATTTCTAGAACTTACTTTTATTGTTTAACTGAAGCTTTTATGCCCACTGATTAGCAACTGCCTACTTCCCCGTCTTCCCAGCCCCTGGTGACCTCTTTGTTTCTATGATTTGACTACTTTATATTTTATTTATTTTTTTAAGACAGGGTCTCACTCTGTCACCCAGGCTGGAGTGCAGTGGAGCAATCATAACTCACTGCAGCCTTGACCTCCTGGACTCAAGCCATCCTCCCACCTCAGCCTCCTGAGTAGCTGGAACTACAGGCACATGCCACCACACTTGGCTAATTTTTGTATTTTTTGCAGAGAAAGGGTTTTGCCATGTTGCCTAGGCTGGTCTCCAACTTTTGGGCTCAAGTGATTCACCTGCTTCTGCCTCTCAAAGTGCTGGGATGAAAGGCCTGAGTGACCACATTCAGCTGGATTTGACTACTTTAGATATCTCATATAAGCAGAGTCATATAATATTTGTGTATACATACAATGGAATATTATTCAGACCTAAAAAAGACATTTTGCAATATGTGACAACATGGATGAACCTTGAGAACATTATGCTAAGAGAACAGAGGTTCCTTGCCAGAAGCTGGGGAATGAGTGGAATCTAACAGAGGTAATGTCAGCCAGTAAGCCAAAATAGCCAGTCAATTAAAATCTCTGGGGCTGGACGTGGTGGCTCACACCTGTAATCCCAGCACTTTGGGAGGCTGAGGTGGGCAGATCACAAGGTCAGGAGTTCAAGATCAGCCTGGCCAAGATGGTGAAACCCCGTCTCTACTAAAACTACAAAAATTAGCCAGGCTCAGTGGCAGGTGCCTGTAATCCCAGCTACTTGGGAGGCTGAGGCAGGAGAATCACTAGAACCTCGGTGGCAGAGGTTGCAGTGGGCCAAGATTACGCCATTGCACTCCAACCTGATAGAGTGAGACTCTGTCTCAAAAAAAAAGAAAAAAAAATCTGGGTATATGGGTTAAAATTCCATGGTAATAACTCATCCACCCTCTTGGGATGTTAAGTGTACACTTGACTCTATGAGTGCTCAGAAATAAAGGTGAGGAAAATCATAAAGTTACCATGTGAACAGTCACAATATCTAAACAAACAATACAAAAAGTAGGGACCATATTGGAATTATGCAAAAAAATACTGTGGTACTTTCTCAGATATTCCAGTAGTTTTCCTCAAGAATAATTTTGTTAACAGGTGGGTGATTTAAAGTTGAGAATGAACAGGGACTGGAGTCCAGGATGAATGTAATGAATGAGCAAGCCCTCTGAATTTGAAAATGAGTTAGTTATTCAGGTATTCTCTCCCTCCAAACAAATTTCTTGATTTTTCTGTGTGTTGACTTAATTTGGAAGTTATTATTTTCCCTTGGCATGACCATTTTTGGCACCCACATTAAAGAAAGTATATTTGACTTAATCTGGTAAACAGTCAAGAGGGAGAGCTCAGTACCCTGTTCCAAAGGGAGAAACATGCCCGCTTTCTGACATAAAGGTCCACCCTGAAGCTGTGTCTTCTGTCCACCTGTGCCTGGTCCCAGCATGCGGGGGCTGTGTTTGCTTTCTATGTTTAAGTCATTTGCTTCTCCTTTCTTTTTCCATCAGGGTAAGTGGTAAAGCATCCAGCTTCTCTGATGCTTCCCATGGCCAATAATAAATTTTTCTCCTTATGAAGTCTAGAGTTTCAAAAATAAGCGTTGAAATATCCCATTTATGGAAACCACAGCATCTCAACCACCGAAAGAAATGTTAAGGTCATTTGGCCCAAAAGCTACACTAGGTCTTGGCTGATTCCATCTCTGGCCATGTTATAGAGAGAGGACAAAGGTAGATGGTTCCATTTTGACCTCATGAAATGCCTTTGAGGCTGGGCAGGCCACAGCCTGACCCTGAAAATATAGAAACATTACCAAAACTGATTATCATATTCATTTTTTGCATTGCATTCAAAAAGCTGACCTCATGCTAAATTCTCTCAAAGGAATTTTTGGTTAGTATCACTGTTTTTGGAAACTAGAGGACACTAACACTCTTGGTGGAGGAGAAGAAACAAATCGGGCACCTGTAAAAGTGGAGTTAAAGGTTTGTCTAGCAGATGACTCCTTTGTCCTGCCCATACCTCAAATAACCAATGAAAGATTATATATCTCAGAATCTCTGCCCAATTTATGATTGTTCCTTTGAGTGATCAGTAGAAACAACCTAACACTGTGTTTCATTTTCATTGCAGACAGTAATAATTTGCATGAATCAGAGAGCTGTGTGTGGCCCAGTATTCTTTGTAAAAATTAGGACATTCTCAGTAAAAGGAGAAGATAACAATCAGCTTTACCTTCAGAATGAGACTACAAGGAACATACTCTAGGGGAAAAGAAGAGAGACAGCTGGTTCCCACTGTACCTTCAGAGAGTGCTCAGAAGCCCAGGAAAGGAAGTTTCATTGTTGAATTGTTTGGGCAGTGGTGAAGCCGCCTGTGCAAAATTATGACTGAGACAGTGAAAGAGATCTAACTTAATCGACTCCATCTTGCTTCTAACCTCCTTGCTGTCCTTATTCATTCCTGGGTGTAGGCGGAACTAACTTTGGGAGAAACTTACAGTTTATAGTTTAAAACAAGGATGATAATAGCCCTTTCCCACAGCAGACCTCCTTCTTGCCTGGTGACTAGATTGCCTTTGTAGGACTAACATTAGCCGCAAGATTAGAAATTATAGTTAAGAGTCATGCAGCTGGAGGCTACAAGATTCTGACCCTCCCTAAACTTCTCCTAAAATCAGTGCTTGAGATATTCTGCAGACCCTGCACTTGATGGGTCAGCTGGCACCACCCAGATCAATAAACTGGCTCATCTGATCTGGTGCCTCCCATCCAGGAACTGACTGTGCAAGAAGACAGCTTCGACTCCCTGTGGTTTCATTCCTGACCAATCAGCACTCCTGGCTCACTGGCTTCCCCCCGACCCGCCAAGTTGTCCTTAAAAACTCTGATCCCCAAATGCTTGGGGAGACTGATTTGAGTAATAATAAAACTCTGGTCTCCTGCACAGCTGGCTCTGCGTGAGTTACTCTCTCTATTGCAACTCCCCTGTCTTGATGAATCGACTCTGTCTAGGCAGCGGGCAAGGTGAACTCCTTGGGCGGTTACGGTGGGTGTTCCAGTAGAAGCCCTGAGCTGTGCATGGGATCCAGGCTGTGTGCTAATCTCATATGGCAGACCCTCAGCTTACAGTAGAGAGGGACTCTTATTACACAACAGGATGGGACCTAAGGGGATGATCTGAAATATTTCCTCCATGTGCAAGGAGTACAGGTGCAAGGAGGTGGCAAGTTAGTGACCTGGCAAGAGCAGCCTGGTTTCCCAGCTTCTTCTCCCATCCCTCACTCTTTCTCAAGTCACAATACTTTAGTCTTCATATAACGAATGCCCCCAGTGAGGCTGATGCAAAATTGATGTTGTTCTGTTCTTTTTCCTAGGAAAATAAGTTAAAATACAGCACAAAATGCTTAACTTAGCTCTTTCCACATCTACTGCAAAAGAATGCCAATAAGAAAAACGTATTCCAGAGAGAAAGGAAATTGTAGACTTTGTTATTAGCATTGGCTAATTTGGTTAAATCACTGTAACTAAAATAAATTATTAATTTGTTGTGTATTTTATATTCAGCAAGAGGAGAACGGTTCAATTTATTTTGAGCAAAGAATTCCCTTATTCCAGTGCTATGCTAATGAAATGCTACTTTTAGCTTTACAAATCATTATTTACCTGTTAATTGGCTTTGGGGAATAGCAGTTAAAGGCAATAAAAATGGAAAGCTTTTTTAAAAGACAAGGGCAAAAAGTGGTGAGGAAAGAAATAACTGAATTATCTATTTCCAAGAGTTCAAGAACTTCTCTAACCTCAGAATATGAAGATTGTATTTAACTATATTAAGTAGCTATGGTCACTGCAACAAGGTTAGGTAATGATGAATGGCATTCTAAGTTAACTAGAGCTAAATTATCAAAGTAAGGCATATTGTATTAAAACAGCCAAATATGAAATGAATTAAATATAATCACTATACTGTTTGTACTCACTTCAGATCAAGTTTTATTATGGTGAAGGGTTTATTATGGTGTGGATGATTAAACTGGGAAAGGGAGAAAGAAAATAGGCTAGAAAGGAAAGGAGTTTTCCAAGACTTACTTAAAAAAACCAATAAGCTGGGCGCGGTGGCTCACGCCTGTAGTCCCAACACTTTAGGAGGCCGAGGTGGGAGGATCACCTGAGGTCAGGGGTTCAAAATCAGCCTGGCCAACATGATGAAACCCCGTTTCTACTAAAAATACAAAAATTAGCCAGCTGTGGTGGTGTGCACCTGTAATCCCAGCTACTCAGGAGGCTGATGAGGCAGGGGAATCACTTGAACCCAGGAGGTGGAGTTTGCAGTGAGCTGAGATTGTGCCACTGCACTCCAGCCTGGGCGACAGAGTAAGACTCTGTCTCAAAAAAAAAAAAAAAAAAAAAAAGAAAGAAAGAAAGAAAGAAAGAAAGAAAAAGAAACCAATAGATTTCTGTTATTTATTTTCACCAATAACAAGAAGTTGTTTCAGAAGCACAAGGGCGAATGCTTGGGGACTGCTTGATGAAAATGAGGTGCATACCTGTGATTTTCAAAATGTGTTCTTCGGAACTTCTGGGCTACACAGAGTAACTTAACAGGCTGCTTAAATAAATATGATCCTGGCGCCCTCTGAGATAAGACCCAGCACAGTCTCTGGGACATTTAATTTCTTTCATTCCCACTGTTTCTATAGGATATTAAAAACAACACCACAAGGGTATATAATCTCCAAAATGAAAACGTAAAAGCATCTTTTTGGCTTGATGAGAACTAGTTTTATCATATGTACAATTACAACCTTATCTACAAATTCTGTTAAAGAGTCCCTGGGGGCTCTTCAGCTGAGGAAATAGAACAGGTACCCTTGCAGCACAAACACGCTTTTCACTATTGTTCCCAGTGTCCCCTGCCGGCAGCTCATTGGCAGTCCTTCCCAGGCTCTGCTCTCTGGTAACATTTGGTTATTTGAAGGCCCTTGCAGTGCAGGATTTTTTCTAAGCGACTCATGCTCAGAAAAATCTCCTACTTCCTTCTCTCTTCCTTTCTTACCACTACCAAATCTTTTTTCTCCACTTTATAAGTAAATTTCAGCTGAGCACTCTGATCTGATTACAAAATCCATATTAAGTTATGAATGGTGATGATACACTTACTAAGTATAGGCATCCTTAATTGGTGCAATTCTAGACCATTCAAAACATTCTTGCACCTGTGAGAAACTTTCCTTCCAGTGCAAATGTCCTAGATAACAAGAAAGGTAAAAGCTTTTATAATAATCTCCAGGATGGGATGGAGCAGAGAAGGAATTTGGAGGTGCTGTAGCCTCTATAGAGTCCTCCAAATCATCTGATAGCTGTAATTTGGAAGATCAAGCCGGCCAGAATTTTCTTGTTTTCCCCAGTATGGATGTGTACGCTTCCAGGAATATAGGGGCTTAAAGCTAAACCTGATGGGAACCCCTCCCCCAGGGACTGGAAATGGAAACAGGCTACTAGTCCTAAAGTTCTCTGGCTTAAATACAGACAGCTTCCTCTTCTTTTACATGTGGAAAATCCGCACAGAATCACTTCCAAGATCTGGGCCATGGTAGCTGAAGTCTCAGGATCCTTACAGGAGGATGAAGTGGGGGAGGTGAAGCCGTGGAGTAATAACTTCTGATTTTTTTGTTTTTCACCCACGGGTGGGAGGTAAGTATAGGGAAGGGTTTTCAATTTCCCTATGATTCCACTAAGATCTTGTAAACAATATAGATCCCCTGTCCTGTAGAATAAGAATCTCAGAGGAAGAGTTTGAGACTCAGTGTCCCTGTGATCCTTACCATCAGACCAGTCTGCCATATACTGACCTGGGAAAAGGACAGTGGTAGGTGGAGTTCACTGGACACTTGGGAACATCTATAAAGAAACAAAGAGGCCCAGATGACTGGGTGCCATTGGGATACCAATCCAGGACCTTGTTTGCTTGGTAAGATACAAAGAGGTGATAATGGTGTTACTATAGTAACATCTCAATTTAATTCCCAATTATTTTTTTCTGAATAATACAGTCCTTTTAATACTTTTTTTCTCAGTTTTATAACCATGGTCTGGAGTCAAAAATTCCTGTCTTTTACTATTTAAATTAAGAACTTTAAAAATAAAATAAAAAATCATGTATTGGCATTCTCATAGATGCAAAAGTCTATTATCTCAACTTACCTATGATTTCAGCTTATTAAACAGGATAGCAATATTCTCTTTTGTTTCCTAACCATCCAATTCTACATTGTTCTATGTTAATATATAAGCCAAACAAAGAATGAGTCAAGATAAAATCCTGTGGAGTCCCTACTGCAGATGGTGATGTGAGTTTGGGAAAACCTGGTAATTCTGAAGTTCTAATGTAAACATTCAATTTGGTAGTTAAAGGTGAGCATTTTATCTTTCTGTGATTGAATGTCACTAAACTCATCTGATTAGGGGTGAATAGAAATAAATGCAGTTGATTAGCTTCAGGTTGTATCTTTTAGAATTACACTGGATTTTGCTGCATTTTATTGATTTGAATAGGGACCAAATTTAGAAATGTAGAATTGAAGTTCAGATCAAAATGGACCTGAACTGAAATGGTAATTAATTAAAAATTAATTGTATTGCATAATATTTAAATTTATTTTACTGAATTGAACTTAATAGATTTCAATCAAGGACTGATTCCACTGAGCAGAATTTGATGCAGTAGAATCAAATCACTTTAAGTCTTATTCAAATGAATTAGATTTTATTAATTTGAATGGAATTTAAGTGACAGATTATATGGGAGTTTGTAATTCTGAGCAGTATTAAAGAATAGGCCAATTCACTCTAAGTTAACTTGGTTCTGGCTTGTCTTGTGGTCACTGGCACTGCAGGACCCTTCAGTAATCCTGGCTCATTCCTTTACACCATGGTCTCCAGAAACAAGTGTGATTAATACCAAAGTGATGGAATGGAAACATATGCTATTTGTTTCTTTGATTCTTTTTGTTTCTCTTATTCTTTTAACAACAGTTGTTCCTTTCCAACCTCTATCTATTATAAAAATATGTCTTCTTTCCTGTCCTAATGCAGTGGATATGATCCATTTAGTTCAATGTTAAACTAAGTTGTGATGACGGTCTTTACGTGCTTCCTGATTTTAAAGAAAACGCTTTTATGTGTAACCATTGAGTTGAGATGCTGCTATCACCTGTTAAGAATAGTTCATCTTTATGTTTAAGGAAGCTATTTGTCATTTCTCATTTGTTAGGATTTTTTTTTGCATGAATCAATACTAAATTTTATTCAATCCTTTGTCTGCTCTTATTAAAATGATAAAAGTTTTTTCTCCTTTTAGCGTTCAGAGATTTTTTCTAATAATAGTACTTTTAAAAAAATCGACTTTGTTGTGATAAATCATTCTTCATACATATGGTTGGGTTTGCTTTGCTATTTTGTTTAGGATTTTTGCCACTGTATTCATGAATGACTTTGGCCTATAACTTCCCTTTGTTGTACTATCATTATGTTTTTGGTATCAAGTTAATACTGGACTCAAAGAATGGTAGGGGGGGCTATGTTGGAATTATTTGGTAAACTATCTGAGGCTCATATAATTTAGTATCTTTCATTATAAGATTATTCTTATATCCATTTCTATAAGTTTATATTCTAATTTATGTTATATTCCAGGTAGATGTTGTTTTTTTTAAATGAATTTGCTCTTTGCATTTAAATATTTAAATATATTGGGAAATAGTTGTGTTTATATCCCTTTTCTTCATTTCTACTAATATATTTTCCTGCTATTTTCTGACCAGTCTAGCCAGAAGTTTATTGATTTTGTTAGTCTCTTCAAAAAATCAATTTGTTGGCTGGGCGTGGTGGCTCATGCCTGTAATCCCAGCACTTTGGGAGGCTGAGGCGGGCAAATCAGGAGGTCAGGAGTTCAAGACCAGCCTGTCCAATATGGTGAAACCCCGTCTCTACTAAAAATACAAAAATTAGCCGGGCATGATGGTGCACGCCTGCAATCCCAGCTACTCGGGAGGCCGCGGAAGGAGAATCGCTTGAACCCGGGAGGCAGAGGTTGCAGTGAGCCAAGATCTCACCACTGCGCTCCAGCCTGGGCGACAGAGTGAGACTCCGTCTCAAAAAAAAAAAAAAATCTATTTGTTGATTTTTACCTACTGTATGGTTGATTTTCTTGTTCATTTATTCCTGCTTTTACATGCATTTCATTTGTTCTACTTCCTTTGGATATATCCTATAATCCTTTAGTCTATTCTTTTTAAAAAAAATAGTTTTTAATTGATCTATAAAAATTAAATACATTTAACACATACAACATGATGTTTTGAAATATGTATGCACTGTGAAATGGCTCAGTGGAGCTAATGAACATACGCATTACCTCACGTACTTATCATTTTTTGTGTACTCTCAGCAATATTCAAAATGCAATGCACTGTATTAACTATAATGATCATGTTGTACAATAGATCTCTTGAACTTATTCCTCCTATCTAACTAAAATTTTATATCCTTTGATCAACAACTCTGCAACCTCCCATTCCCTAGCCTCTGGTAACCACCATTCAACTCTCTAATTCTATGAGTGCAACTTTTAAAAATTCCATATATAAGTGAGATGATGTGGTATTTGTCTTTCTGTGCCTAGCTCATTTCACTCAACATAATGTATTCTATGTTCTTCTGTGTTCCAGAAATCACTGTGTTTAAATCCTGCTTTCTCTTTATCCATTCATCCATTCATGGACGCTTGGGTTGATTCCACATCTGGGCTACTATCAATAATGCTGCAATGAACATGGGAATGCAGATACCTCTTTGACATACTGATTTCAGTTTTAAAAAATACATAGCAGGTAGAGAGATGGCTGGATCATATGGGAGTTCTATTTTTATTTTTTGAGGAACTTCTATGCTGTTTCTCATAATGGTCGTCCTAATTTACATCCCCACCAAAAGTGTACAAGAATTCCCTTCTTTGTCTAATATCTTAAGATGGATGCTTGGATCAATAATTTTCAGCCTTTCTAAGCTTTTACTATACACATAAGACTATAAATTCTATCAAAATACCACTTTAGGAATATCCCTCAAGTTTTGAATTATGCTGTCATCATTATTTGATAATATGCACTAATTTTGATTATTATTATTTTTAGTAGAGACGGGGTTTCACCACATTGGTCAGGCTGGTCTTGAATTCCTGACCTCGTGATTTGCCCGCCTCAGTCTCCCACAGTGCAGGGATTATTTAGAAGTATTTTTAAAATGTCTAATTATATGTTTTGCTTTAAGCTTTTTTTGTAAAAGTGTCTTTTTAGCTGATTTTTAAAATTTAATTGGTCATAGAAAACAGGATTTATGATACCAATAACCTGAAATTTGTTGAGATTTATTTTAAAGAATCGAGTCTGTGGTCAATATTCAAAAACATTTTACATGTGCTTGAAAAAATATTTATTTTCTAATAGTACTATGTGTGCATTGACTCACAGTTATTAATTATGCTATTTAATCCTATCTGGGTTGCCCAGTAGGTAACCAATAGCCACACGCAGCTATTTAAAATTTAGTTTTTCAGTCTCACTAGCTATATGTGCTAATGGCTACCATATTGTACAGAAAATATTTTGATCACCTCAGAAAGTTCTTTTGGATACTGCTGCTCTGTACACTTAATGATTTTTAAAGGCTTCTGACCTATAATTACTGAGACATCAATATTAAAAGCTTCTTCTATAATACTATATCTTTCAATCTTCCCAAGTTTAGCATTAGGTATTTTCAGTAATTTGGAAATTTTTATGCTATTGTAATGCTCTGAATTGTAATTTTTTTTTCTCTTTCATTTGCATTCGTATCAATAGGCTCACAATAGCTTTTTGGAATTTGTAATCTCCTGGCCTTGTTTTCTATCATCTTTCTTTCAGACTTTGTGGTGTCCTTAATGTTTTTAATATCTCTTGTGTACAGCACATAGTTTTTCTTTTTAATTGTCTAAAATTATCTTTTAACTGGAGAGTCTAGTCTATTTATTGTGATAACTGACTTGGACTTATTTCCAAATATTTGTACCTTTTTTTCTCTCTTGTTTGCTTTTTATTGTTACTAATGTTTAAGTATTTTTTCTTCCTTCTGAATTGATAGTTTTTCTTCATTCCATATATTTTCTACTGGTTTAGAATTTTGCATTCTCTTAAATATCATTCTTTTAGTAGATACCCTAGAAAGTTTAAATTTCATATTTAACTTAACAGTGTCTCAACATAGTATATTTATTCTCTTCCTAAACAATACAGCAATTTTATAGCTTGTTTCTGTTCCTTACATATAAGGTATTTCATCTATTTTTTAGCTTCATCTTGTTTTCCTTAAATATCACAAATTAAAGTTTATTGCTCAATATTGTCAATGTTTGCATAGATTTACTGACATTTTACTATTTTCTTTGTTCCCTCTTTTTTCTATCTCAGACTATTCTTATGAGATCTTTTTTTCTCTAGGGTCAGAGGGTAGTATGTTATCATTATTTTGTCCTAAAAAGTCTTTATTTAGACTTTATATATGTGTTTTTTTCTGGGTGGCATATTCAAGGTCAATGGTTATTTTCTCACAATAGTTTGTTTCTTCAGGGTTCCATTGTCAAGAAGTCAATGGTCAGTTTAATTTCAATTCTTTTGTAAATAATCTGTAATTTCTGTCTAGCTGGGGATTGCTTTCATTCTGGCTTACATCCACTATGATGCCTTAATCTGAATCTTAATTTGCATGTTTTTTTGGTTCTGGTCAATTTTTAGCCATCATTCACCAAAATAAGGCCTCACCACTCTTATCTCTTCTTTCACAACTCCAATTAGAGATGTATTGATTGGTTGTGATCTAATCTCCTTGCTTTTAATATTTTATTTTTCATATTTGACAACTCTCACTGGGCAGATTTCTGGGAAATTTCTTCAGAATCTATTTTTAATTTCATTGTTCCTACTTTAGCTGGGTAGAAACTGCTATTTATCTCTAACATTAAGCTTTTAATTTTATCTATTATGTTTTTATTCCTGTAATGTTTATTTGGTTCTTTTTCAAATGTTACCCATTATTTTTAATAGTATATCCACTTTTCTCTTTAAAATTTTTTTCAATCCAATAATTTCAATACCTGAAGATTCTGTAGGACTGAAAATGCTATTAGTTATCTCTATTGATTCACAATTACAGTATCTTGTTTCCCCATACATTTGGTGATTATTTTTTCTTTTGAGATCATGTTTCTTGGAAATATGTCTGTGAGAATCCTGTGAGGTTCAGTAGAAGGTATGTCTCTCTCAGATCATCTGCATTTGCTTTTCTCAGATACATGGAGACATTACCAATCTGGGACCTCTTTAAAATATATTTTCAGCTTGAGTTTTCTCCAACCATTCAAATGCTGTGAAGTTAGGCTGTAAACATGCATCAGAACTGGCTTTCTATTACATAGCTTCAAGGGATAATTTCTTCTTTGTACTCTGAGCTAAAGTTCAGATAATCAAAATTTTTACATTATCTTCTTTTGTAGAGTGGATTTTTCCATTTTCAGTTTTGTTTTTCATTGAGAGTCTAACCCCCTGGATTTTGTTTTCCATACAGGGATATTTGATATAATTTATTACTTGGCATGGACCCTTCTTCCTCATATAGCCACTGAAAGAAAAGCTGCTGGTTGCATGGAACTGACAGAAGCCTTTAGGTCAGCTTCTGGCTTTGGCATTCATTTATAACCTTGGTTCATGATTTTTCTTCATTTTAGGCCTCAAGGATCTTCCTCAATTTCTTGCATGCTCAATCATACATTTAAAAGGATTTTAAAAATTATTTTTATTTTTAATTTTTTTGAGACGAAGTCTTGCTCTTGTCCCTCAGGCTGGAGTGCAATAGCATGATCTCAGCTCACTGCAATCTCCACCTCCTGGGTCCAAGCAATTCTCCTGCATCAGCCTCCTGAGTAGCTGGGATAACAGGTGCCTGCCACCACATCTGGCTAATTTTTGTATTTTAGTAGAGATGGGGTTTCACCATGTTGGCCAAGCTGGTCTCGAACTCCTGACCACAGGTGATCCACCCACCTCAGCCTCCCAAAGTGCTGGGATTACAGGCGTGAGCCACCACGCCTGGCCTTATGCATTTTAAAAATGTTTATGGGGGAGCACTTTTGTTGTATCTATTTGGCCTTAATTGTATAGTCGAAGTCTGTTACTGTAGGTTTTAAAGCAAGGGAGAGGCATGGTCAAGGTGATATTTTATTATACAATGTGACATAAAGGAAAGGCAACAGTAAATAGAGGAACTATTCTACAAATTAGGTGATAAAGACTTGGAGTATCATGGATGTGACATTCTGCCTAACAGACAGAGGGAAAACATACTATAAAAGGACATTAGTAGGATGTGTTGACCTGATGGATCAGCTAGTGGTAAATGCTTGGTTTCACGATTACGCAAATCTGAACATTTTGAAAGAAATGTCAGTAGGAGAGTGTTAATTTTGGGGGAAATGAACACTTTTTCAGTTTAATTTTATAGAGGGTGAATTTGATGTGCCAGTGGGTCTCAACTGGGGCTGGCACTACCTCCTCAGGTATGATTCGGAAACATGTGTAAGGTGCCACTGATATGTAGTGCCTCAGGTCCCATGAAAGCTGAATGTCTTACAATGTGTTAGATAGTTCTGCACAATAAATGTCACACCTCAAATGCCAGTAGCACCCTGGTTGAGAAGCCCTCTGACATAGCAACTTGGAAATGAGGATGTACAAGAGATGGGACTTACGACTTCAAGAGAGAGAGAGATTACAACCAAATCTTTTTTTTTTTTTTTTTTTTTTTTTTTTGAGATGGAGTTTCCCTCTTGTTGCCCAGGCTTCAGTGCAGTGGCATGATCTTGGCTCACTGCAACCTCTGCCTCCTGGGTTCAAGCGATTCTCCTGCCTCAGCCTCCCAAGTAGCTGGGATTACAGGTGCCTGCCACCACACCTGGATAATTTTTTTGTATTTTTATTAGAGACAGGGTTTCACCATGTTGGCCAGGCTGCTTTTGAATGCCTAGCCTCAAGCAATCCACCCGTCTTGGCCTCCCAAAGTGCTAGGATTACAGGCGTGAGCCACTGCGCCCAGCCAGAACCGCATCTTTAATTCTGTGAGTCATCCACAGTGACAACTGATGCCTGAGCATGGGACAGTCTGTGGAATGGGGCACATGGCTAGCTAAGGCCCCACCTCTTAGGGTGCTGCAGCAACAGGAGAGGAAGAAAGAATTTAGGAAAGCAGCTACAAAATGGGAAGGGTCTAGGCAACGTGATTTGAAGAATGTTACTTCTCTGAAATCTGCTTTCATTCTCATTTCCCACAGCCACTAGTATTTGTTCCCTATTTGTGTTAAGCCACAGTTCATGCAGAACTTAGTTATTGCATTTCTTCCTCTGATTCATGTATTGTGTTGCAGTTACTTTATGTGCTCATCTTCCCTACAGACTGGGAGTTCCACCTGGACACTGATTCTGTACTCCAGCTTCTAGCAGGTAAACGAGCGGTGAGTGTTTCAGAAAGGTAAATGTTCCAGTGTTCCAAGGGTAAAGGTTGGCCGACATCATCAGATTTGAGGATTAGAATCATCTGAGCGGCAGACTCATGTTTCAGGTGATCAAGCTTTAAGAGGTTAAGGTGATATAAGAAAGCAAACATGAATGATCAAAACAGAAAAGCCTTCTGAACATAAGGAGAGAGAGACAGACCAGCCAAAGGGTGATGAAGGAGAAAGTGTGGCTTCTGCAAGATGGGGCGGGGTGGCGGGGGGTGGAGTTCTGAATGAATCTGTAGTCAAAAGTAAAAGAAATTGACAAAGAAGGAAAGATCAAAGCTCTGATGATTGGACCAATACTGATCAATAACTACAATCACTATTATGATATTTACTACTTCTTCCCAACGTGCTGGGGCCTGAACCAACTCCACATAAACATTGCCTTGGAGAATATCTCAAGCTGAGTTTGGTTTCTTAACCCAATTTGATGAAGACACGACCAGGAGAGTCCAGAAAAGGACAAGGGAGACAAATAAGCCTTAATATTGAGACTTTCTGACCTGGCCTCTTCTTTTCTACTATTTAACACATTAAGAAAGAAAATAAAATTGATGACATTAAAATACTTAGCCTTGACCTTTAACCCTATTAGGTCAGTGCAAAAGTAACTGCGGTTTTTACCATTGAAAGTAACATCAAAAACTGCAATTACTTTTGCACCAACCCAATACTTGTTACTCTCCAGACAGTCATGTGTTACTTACTATCTGAAAAATGCATCCATTCTTCAACAGCAGAGCAAGACGCTGCTTATGCAGCTCAAAACCTGAGGTCTCATATCAAGCCTGCTATTTAGTGGGGGCACAAATCCTTTTTTTGTTTATAACACATCAAACTGGCAGAGTCACACATTATTCATCCATTACCCGGTCTTCCTCCCAGGAAACTAAGATGCTAAAGCCTTTCTCGATGGCACAAGCAGTTAATAAAAGTGGCACAAATTCAAAGTCCTCCAATCTCACAGAAGAGCAGTAAGATGACGGAAAATTCAATAACAATAATAAGTGGCAGATTTTTCAAGTGGGTAAAAGGGACACATATAAACAGTGAAATCACTAAAATTTGCCCTTATTCTTTTTTTCCTGACAACAGCAGGAAAGACACAGAATACATTTTTCCTTGTATGTATTTAACTAAAACTTGTTTCGTTAGCCTTTTGATTAACCTGCTGGTATTAAATGCAATTCTTCAAAGCTCTTCACATTATGTCAATTAGTCATTTTTTTTTTTTTCTGGCGAGGCAAATGATATCAGTTTGATTGTAATGAATGTGACAAATTACTCAATATTCAGATATGTTTTTGGTTATTGCTGCTTTGCAACTCTGGATGAATAATTTGATTAAGATGCCTATTAGGAAGCAAATCTCAAAACATCAAAACCACCTGCCTCTCTGATTTCAACTCTTAATCTTTATAACCTGCCTGGATGCATCGCCCCATTTTCTGTGAAGAATGAATTCCTTATTTATCACTGACCTCTTTCATTGTTCAAGGCTTTTGCTCACGCTGTTCCAGCCGGTCTGCCATCTTGCTGCTCCTTAAACACCCAAGCACATTCCCACTTTAGGGCTTGGCAGGGACTATTTTTGCCACCTGAAATTCTCTTTCCTTAATATCCTCAAGGACCTTTCATCCTCCTTCCTTAGATGTTCTTCAAATGCCATTTTGTTAGGCTGGCTTTCACTTAATAACCTCCAAAGAGCATCTTTGCTTCACTCCATAACCCTTATCCTACTTTATTTATCTATTTGCATTTATCCACCTCTAATATTAGATACTGTTTTGTTTATTGTTTATTTTGTCCCCTCCCACTAGAGTTTATGATCCAGTAGAGTTGAGCTGTTGTTTTGGTTTCTGATAAATAGCACCTGTCCATAGTTAGGTGGTTAATAAACATTTTTCAGATGCACGAATTCAAGTCATTATTCTATTTCTTTTTTCATATCTAAACACATTTTTAAAAAAAGAAAAAAGAGAAAATAAATTTTAAAAATCATGCGCACATTTTGAATTCTGGTGTTTCGGTGTATTTTTTCCTTTCTTTATGCCTCAGTCTATCAGTTGAAATTGGATTTCACCTGAGGCAACTTTATCACACCTAATCAGTTTCTCCCAGTGTCAGTTGATTAAAGAATAGCTGCAATTTTTCTATGTAAAAGGTACAGCAATTATGCCACTTATATAACCATCTCTGAACATACATTTGCAGAATCTGTATTGGTGTTCATAATTGGGCTTATCTTTCAAACAGCCATCATCCATAAGTGATAATCTTATTTGTATTCCTTGTGTCATAACTTTATATCACATCTCTATTCTTTTCTTAGCAGCATTAAAATCAAATTTTAATTACTCTGAATCTATCTTTTCAGGAAGCTCAATAATCTACTTGTGTCTTACACTGTCTCAAAAAAAAGAGTAAACCAGGGACTTGTTTTGACAGTCTACTCTTAAGATATGGTAGTGCAGGTTGATTTGGGAGGGCAGGATTTGGGGCTGACTTCAGTATGCAGTCAGCTCATGAGGCTGGCTGAAACTAATTGGCCTGCAGAGAAGAGGAGCCCATTTTCTAACTAGCACAAGGCTTTCTATATTCTGGGAGACCCTGGTATAGCCAACACTCAATGACAATTCAGTACAATTTTCTACACCTACCCTATCTATCATGCTGTACAGTTATATCAGTGTTCAGAATCATGACCCAAGGAAAGACAATTTTACGGAAGTGAGAAATTTAAAAATTGTATGTAGCTGATTACATTTACAAAAGCAGGCGAATCTTAAATAAACACACATACACACAAACAAAAGATTTCTGTATATATTTGTCAAACCAAATTGTTTTTCTATTATACTTTTTATTCACAAGAAAATTCACATATAAGGATTTCTAGGTTCTATGCACTTTCATTTCTGGGAAATCCACTTATTGGATTTCCTGGGTTCTGTCCTGTCTGTCTTCTTTAGGTTTAGGGTAATGAGTAATAAAAGCTGATATCTTGACAGATTCTTGGGAGACTATAGAGGTACATGGCATAACCCACAAAAAGGGAGTAAAGCAGGGATTCTGTTAAAGCCTGGCTCGTAGTCACAGGCTTTACAAAGAGAGACTCGGAAGCCTTCCTACCTCCACTCTGGTCCCACTAGGTCGGCAGTTATGTCTCCAGCATAGCATAAATCCTACAGATCTGCAAGGGTAATGTTGACAGCCTAGAGGCTCACAAAGTAACTCTGTTCTCTATCTGTGGACAGAGGCAGGGGGCTGAGCACCACCTCACCTGAAGCAGCTGATTCAGATGTCCACTATTTGACAGTGGACCCCAGAGAATTCTGTTCCTTCCCAAGGATATTACAGATCCTGCATATTCCAGCCAGTGCAAGAGTGGCTGTGAAATAGAGATCAGTGAGTGAGGTGATCACTGAAATTGGAGCCAGGAGATCTGGACTCTATTCCACCTCCATTATGATCATAACGTTCCATTTCTTCCTCAGGCTCTTTCCTGCTGTCTAACATGGGGCATGGACTTTGATGATCTCTGTTTCTGGCTTTATTATTTCATGATTCTATGATTTTTTTTTCTGATTATGTTTTCAGAAGTGACCTAATTGGATTATATTGCCACATGTCTATTTTCTTTACATTGCATATATTGTAACAACATTATTCACACCTCTTCTCGGTAACAGAAATATTCTTCTCATTTCTTCATCAAGTTTGCCACTGTTTTTTCTTTTCTTGGTAGGGATGAGGGGTGGATGAAGTCTCATTCTGTCGCCCAGGCTGGAGTGCAGTGGCTTAATCTTGGCTCACTGCAACCTCCGCTTCCCAGGTTCAAGCGATGCTCCTACCTCAGCCTTCTGAGTAGCTGAGACTACAGGCACCCATCACCAGGCCTGGCTAATTTTTGTATTTTTAATAGAGACGGGGTTTCACCGTTGTTGGCCAGGCTGGTCTCAAACTCATGACCTCAGGTGATCTGCCAGCCTCGGCCTCCCAAAGTGCTGGGATTACAGGCGTGAGCCACGGTGCTGGCCTGCTTTTTCTTTATGTATAGATACAAACATTGTTTTCCTATTCTAACTATTCTATTCTTCTAGCAAAGAGAGGTGCATTTTCTTACAAACATTTATAAAACCTTGTCCTGCTTATTGGAGCCTCGGTCACACTGCCTATTTCCTGTGTAAATGTCAGCTTCTTTCTAGACCGACGACTACTCAGCGGGTGGAAGCCATCTCACTTTATCTTTGCAGCTACAAAGGTTCATAACAATAACTCAGTATATATTCTCTGCAGCTACTAGGATTCATAATAATTCAGTATATATTAAATGACTTCATGAATTCAGTCCCATGACTACAATACACACCTTTGGTAATGCTAATGCCACATAAGTCTAGTCCCACTCTCTCTCTCCCTCCTGTGAACTCCAGTTCCATATTCTTAACAATTTAATAGATTTCTGCATTTGGTGGTGCTACATATACTCAATTCCAATGGTTTCACTCTTTGGCCTTTCAACAAAACACATGTATCTATTTGTGTCTATGCTCTCAGGAACTTCCTTTTCATTCTTCAACAACTGATCTCATTTTTAAATTCATGGAAAAATACAGGATATCAGAGAGAAATGCCTCACCATTCTGTCTGTAGGAATACCATCTTCTCCTGTCTCTTACAGCAGTTTTTCCTCCTACCTCTGGCCACTTCCTGGTCTTATGGTAGGGTTCTACCCTTTCTCCATCTTCTCAGGAGATGTACATTATTATTTATTCTTTATTTCTCTTAGGATTCCTCCCACTGGCATCTAAGACTGATTATCTTACTTGGAAACACACACACACACACACACACACACACACACACACACACCCAACTCCAATCATCACATGAAAATGGTCTTTGTTAAGGTCTACTCCTCCTTCCATTTCATTATATCCAATAGATCTTTGCATTTTTTATTTTACCAGACCTCTCAGCAGCATTTGATGCTCAATATTGTCCCTGTCATTCCTTTGTCTTGGAACAGTCTTTACACTTAACCTATGTCCCGAGAGCTGGTCCTGATTTCTCCTACTTCTCTGGTTGCTATTTCTGTTAGTCTTAACTTTTTTTTTTTTTAACTCAAACAATGAAAAAGTTGGCACTTTCCAAGTCCCGTCTTTCTATGCTCCCTCTTCTTCTGCTTTCTGTGCTGTCTCATCCATATTCAGGCCTTCAGTAGACACAGGACTCACTCATTTGTACGTTTAAATCAGCTCTTTCCTCTGAGACTCAGACTCACATATCCAACTGTCGATTAGGCATCCCCACTTAGGTATCTCAAGCCCAATTCAAATGCACATAAAAGTCATGACTGTCTCATCTACATGTGGTCACTTTTTGGGATTTTGGACCTCTGTTAATAGCCCAAATCCATCCATCCTGCTATTGGAGCCACCAGGAATTGTCATACACAAAACTTTGTCCACTGTTTCTTTTGTCCATGACCACCCTTCTCTGTGTATGGGACTCAGGTGTGGCCGTGTGCCTGTGTGGTGATGATGGAGCCCTAGAGGAGGGCGTGAGGTCCAGCTCCTGAATCAAGGAAATTCTGACCACTTCTCAAAGAAATCCATCTGCTTTGCAGCTGAGAGGACCAGAGTGAGCGCTAACGCTGCGGGAGAAGAAAGGTTTTAGTCTGTCTAGGAGAGGAATATTGGAGAACTGGATCTCATCACCACTGTTTTCAATTTCATTTTTTCCACACTGTGTTTGAACAGCAGGCACTGGCTTTTCCACTGACTGTCATTACCCACCTAAGGAAATACACAGTTAGGGAAAGATGCAAGCATCTATGTGTAGTAATGGGGAAAAATCCACCCCTCAAACAGCTCCACTCACATCCCCATCAGTTGGCATCTCCTATTTCATGGCCACCACAGAGGCTGTAAAAGTGGGCAAAGCATTTTATTATGCTGCTGTATTTTTCTGTTTACTTCAGAGCATGTGTTTCTCTCCAGTATCACTCATCTCCATAATATATAGTTTCAAAGACACAATTTCATGCAGATGTGGGAGAAATAGAACAACAAATTCAAAGCTCCTCTTGCCATCAGTCTTTTGATTACAGTGCCCTTTCCAGAGAGGTAAACATGACACTTCCCTCAGCCCCTACACGGACTTATTGCACAACTAGATTGCTGAATTTTTATTGCAGGACTGTGCCTGCCCTTGTTTAAAATTGTTTTGACCTTTGGAAGAGCACGCATTAAAAAAAAAAATTTCCATCTTTCTCCAGAATTAGTAAGCTGTAATAAAAAGAGGAAGGCAAGTTTGTCATATCTGAATGGTGCCTGGCAGAGTCAGAGCAAATACTTGCTTGACAACTTCATTTTGCTCCTGGAAAGAGCTGCTTTGTGACCCTGGCTCTGAATGCCAGCCCTGTGTAAATGATGCCTTCGTCGTCAAAGTCCAGATGGCAGCTCCTCCGGCCAATGTTGCCTTATTTCACATGGAATCACAATCCCATGAGTGACATTCAGTCTGGAGAAGAAGCTGTCGGAAATCCCCTGTGTATCAATTTGCTACTTTGCAAGTTGAAAGCACTTAAAAATTACCATGTTCAGAAATGTACCATACATTGTATAAGGGTGAATTTGTAAGGATTGCAAAATTACCGTTTACTACATCACTGAGGCCGAAAGAGAGGTTCTCTTCAATAACAACTATGGTTAGTAATAAACCAACAGAAGTGTGTGTCATTGTGAAAACCGTAACAGAGTCAGTACCAAAAAGAGCAAACCCATCCAAATGCAATGTGCAAGAATATTAACTAACATCTTCATTGAGCCCTGTCAGAAGAAAGCTGGTGAGAACAATACTAAATAAAACATTGAAACTGAGCCCAGAAGCTTCAGTTTGGTAAGAATTTATTCAGTAGTATTATGGCCTGCCACTGTCAGACTTAAAAGAAAACTATCTCATGTTGAATATTCTCAAAAGGATTTGATGTATGTTGCCTTATTCTTTCCAGAATGAAATCAGAGTGACTTAAAAAGAATCTAAAAGGATCCTTTCTCCCCATCAGAAACAAAGAAAGATTAGGGAGTAACAATAACGGGCCAAGTATAATTTATTAAACTAGAATAAGTTATTTCCTAAATCTATAAAAGTATTTGATAAAAAGACAAAAATAAACTTGAGTTTTCAGAGAAAAAAGACCCTAAAGATTGCTAAAAATTTTTGATATATAACAAACAATAACTTTCTTTCAAGGAATACAAAGACATCTCAAAAAAAAAGAATAATTCAAATTACTATCAAATGATTACAACATAAGTAATTAGCAAAGTCAAGTGGCTGGTAGGGAGGCTGAGTCAAATACTGTATTAGAAGCTAGAGAACAAGAATTAATTTGACATTGTCCTTAATTTGAAGAGAAAATCATCATCATCATCACTATCATCATCATCATCATTTACTGAACAATTACTAGGTGTTCAGCTGTTTTAGGCACTGTACAAATAGATAATTTTCCAATGAGTAATAAAATAGAATACCTATACATCACTCCACTAAAAGAAAAAGAAAAAAAAAAAAACCCTAAACTTCCAATGCTAAACTTTCCACTGAAAAACATACCTAAAGATGGCTGGAAAAATGTTACTACCATAGCTGCAAAAACCATCAGCATACTCAGTTTCGCCCTACCAAAATATAGTAATTAGAAAACTCAGTGTTGGAAACCATCAAGATGACAGGCAGGACTCTTCTAAACTTTGCCTATAGCAGGGCACCATGCTTTAATTCTCCAATGTAGGGTATTAAATGGTAATATTCGAGCAGCCAGCAAACACTGGTGTCTGCCAATTTAAATGATTTAATATCTTTTAAAGATTAGAAGTAATAAACTAGAGCTTAAATATACAGAACCAAAGACCACATGCATTTCAACTGCTGCAAGAGGTAAAAAACAACAACAACAAAGATAAACAAACAAACAAAAACAATGAAAAAAAACCAGACACAACCCAGCTAGTATCTCTAATTTGTAATTAGAAAAAATGAAAGCCTTTGTCAGGTGTTCATTTAACAAAGTGTCTTGAGCTTATCTAGGAGGAGGAACAATTCAATTATTTATAAAAATTAATTTTCAAACAGTACCCTTTCTCTTAGCTATGAAATAAATGAAGGGTTTTACCAAAACTTTTCATTTAGAACCTTCTAGGGCACAAAATGGATGAGTGATAGAATATTTACTTCGGTTTCAAATATTAGTTAAGTATTCTCTAGTTCTTTTATGTTCTTTTCCATTACTTTTTAAATGTGGGTGTTTTATTAATGAGAAAGTCCCCATATGGTGTTCATAATGTTTAGCTCAGTGCTGGGCATAGCAGCTATTACACATGGATGGACTGACCGATTGGTTAACATTTACTCTGAGACCTGAGAAAGAAGGAAAAACAAAAAGGCTCTGGCAGCTGGCAGTTTGCAGGTACCAGCCAGACTGAGGTAACAGCTAGACTCCTGAACATAATACAATTCCATAGACTATCAGCAATAATCAAACAGGTTCACTCCATGATCATGGCCAAACAACACAAAAAAGCCTTCGTTGTGTCTGAACACCAAAACCATGTGTGGCCACAAAAATAACCGAAAAACTCCCTCATCTGGCTAACCTGACTGGCTACCACTTTTTTCCCAATGACAAACAGCCCCACGTGGGCCCTCCTGCTATCAATTTGCATCCATTCCTGAGCACCACCCAATCCACAACAAATCTTCACTCCCTGAAATCACCCGACACCAGCCCCAATCCTATAATATCCTCCTCTCCACATTCCCTTACAAGGATGCCCCGTAGTTCCCCACAGTGCACACCCCCCTCTAATGTTCCTGTTCTTGCAAGCCCACAGACCCACCTTTCTGTGGTGTGCTCCTGGTGGTCTCAGGCTGGTGGGAATTAACAAACTAAACATCACACCAATAATAAGCACCCTACGTTCAGGCTTCCTAGAAAACATCGTCTCTACCTTATGATGAGCCAGAGATTGACCAAACAGAGCAAAGTAGGGGAATATCACTCCCCCTAACTGCTATTTAAAAAAAAATGTGGAGGGAAAGGAAGGAATAACAATAATATTTGTATTACAATTTGATTCCAAGGTTTGGTAAAGCACATAATAACTAACTTCAGCCACTTTACCCATTATCTGGTGTTATTGAAGAGGGGTTGGTCCTTTTCTCGTTCTACAATAGGAAAAATTGCTGTCCCCATTCTCTCTGGTATACCACACAAACACACACAAATCGAAGTTCCCATGCAAATAAACATTATTTTGGCTGAGCAATATACATTTAAACGTTTTTCTCCTCTGCTTTTGAAATGATAAAAAAAGAAACAAAACTTTTCGCACAGCAGCACTAATAATAATAAGCAATAAGAGGAGGACAATGCATAAGAAAAAAGCCCAATACATGTCAGTAAGCAAAGGAGACACCAAAGAAGAGTGAAATAAAGATGGAGAAAAGAAAGTGACGTGAGAGAGCAGGACAGAGAGACAGGGAGAGACACTCACGCATTCGAAGGAGAATGGAAAGCACGGGGCAGAGTGTTCTCTTCCGGTAGGTTGTCAGGATTTACTTTTCATTCTTTTATATAAGTTGGAACTTATTTGGGTCCCAATGTGTATAAAATAAATGGAATAATTTTCAGTTCTGCAGTGATAGGATCAGAGTGATTCAGTATGATTTTTATGGTGTTGACATTTAGCCCTAGATGGGACCACAGAACTTTTATTCTTTACCTCTGTACTCTCAAATATTTTATTCACTGAAGAATACTCCTTAATTGTGTTGTTACCACTTTTATCTGCTTCTGAAGGTAGGGTCACCCAGAGTAATCTGATGCTGAAAACATCCCAAAATGTAAATCTATCCCTCCTGCTGAAGTAGAAAGGGTTATGTTAAGCATTTTTAAAACCATAATTATTTATTTTATTTTTATTATTTTTGTAGAGACAGAGTCTCACTATGTTGCCCAGGCTGGCCTTGAACTCATGGGCTCAAGGTATCCTACTACCTTGGCCTCCCAAAGTGCTGTGATTACGGTATGAGCCATTGTGCCTGGTCATGTTAAGCATTTTTAAAAATTACTTTGTTTTATTTTCCCCAGGTCTATTCACTGGAAGCATTTTTGATATGGTTTGGCTCTATCTCCACCCAAATCTCATCTTGAATTGTAGCTCCCATAATCCCCATGTGTTGTGGGAGGGACCTGGTGGGAGGTAATTGAATCATGGGGCTGGGTTTTTCCTGGGCTGTTCTCATGATAGTGAATAAGTCTCACACGATCTGTTGATTTTATAAAGGGCAGTTCCCCTGTACACAATCTCTTGCCTGCCCGGAAAGACATGACTTTGCTCCTCCTTTCCCTTCCACTGTGATTGTGAGGCCTTCCCAGCCATGTGGAAGTGTAAGTCCATTAAACCTCTTTCCTTTATAAATTACCCAGTCTTGGGTATGTACTTATTAGCAGCATGAGAACAAACAAATACAGTAAATTGGTACCGGGAAATGGTGTACTGATATAAAGATACCTAAAAATGTGAAAGCAACTTTGGAACTGGGTAACAGGCAGAGGTTGGAACAGTTTGGAAGGCTCAGAAGAAGACAGGACGATGTAGGAAAGTTTGGAACTTCCTAGAGACTTGTGAAATGGCTTTGACCAAAATGCTGATAGTGATATGGACAACAAAGTCTAGGCTGAGGTGGTCTCAGATGGAGATAAGGAACTTGTTGGGAACTGGAGGAAAGGTCACTCTTGATATGCAAAGAGACTGGCAGCATTTTGCCCCTGCCCTAGAGATCTGCGGAACTTTGAACTTGAGTGAGATAATTTAGGGTATCTGGCAGAACGAATTTCTAAGCAGCAAAGCATTCAAGATGAAGCAGAGCATAGAAGTTTGGAAAATTTGCAGCCTGATGATGCAATAAAAAAGAAAAACCCATTTTATGGGGAGAAATTCAAGCCTACTGCAGGAATTTGCATAAACAAACAAACAAAGCTGAATGTTAAACACCAAGACAACAGGGAAAATGTCTCCAGGACATATCAGAAACCTTCATGGCAGCCCTTCCCATCACTGGCCCAGAGGCCTAGGAGGGAAAAATGGTTTCATGGGCTGGGCCCAGGGCCCCCCTGCTGTGTGCAGCCTAGGGACTTGGTGCTCTGTGTCCAAGCTGCTCCAGCCATGGCTAAAAGGAGCCAAAGTACAGCTTGAGCCGTGGCTTCAGAGGGCACAAACCCCAAGCTTTGGCAGCTTCCACATGGTTTTGAGTCTGCAGGAACACAGAAGTCAAGAATTGAGGTTTGGGAACCTCCACCTAGATTTCAGAGAATGTATGGAAATGCCTGGATGTCCAGGAAGAAGTTTGCTGCAGGCACAGGCCCCTCATGGAGAACCTCTCCTAGGTCAGTGCAGAAGGGAAATGTGGGGTTGGAACCCCCCACACAGAGTTCCCACTGGGGCACTGCATAGTGGAGCTGTGAGAAGAGCGTCACCGTCCTCCAGACCCCAGAATGGTAGATCCACTGAGAGCTTGCACCGTGAGCCTGGAAATGCTGTAGACGTTCAACGCCAGCCCATGAAAGCAGCTGAGATGGGGGTCTATACCCTGCAAAGCCACAGAGGCAGAGCTGCCCAAGGCTGTGTGAGCCAACCTTTGGCATCATTGTGACCTGGATGTGAGTCATGGAGTCAAAGGAGATCATTTTGGAACTTTAAGGTTTAATGACTGCCCTGTTGAATTTTGGACTTGCATGGAGCCTGTAGCCCCTTTGTTTTGGCCAATTTCTCCCATTTGGAATGGGTGTATTTACCCAATGCCTATACCCTCCTTGAATCTAGGAAGGAACTAACTTGCTTTTGATTTTACAGGCTCATAGGCAGAAGGGACTTGCCTTGTCTCGGATGAGATTTTGGACTTTTGAGTTAATGCTGGAATGAGCTAAGACTTTGGAGGTCCGTTGGAAAGGCATGGTTGGCTTTGAAATGTGAGGACATGAGATTTGGGAGGAGCCAGGGGCAGAATGATATAGTTTGGCTGTGTCCCCACCCAAATCTCATCTTGAATTGTAGCTCCCATAATCCCCATGTGTTGTGGGAGGGACCCTGTGGGAGCTAATTAAATCATGGGGGTGGGTTTTTCCTGTGCTGTTCCTGTGATAGTGAATAAGTCTCACAAGATTGGCTGGTTTTATAAAGGGCAGTTCCTCTGCACATGCTCTCTTGCCTGCTGCCATGTAAGACATGCCTTTGCCCTTCCTTTGTGTTCTGCCATGATTGTGAGGCCTCCCCAGCCATGTAGATCTGTGAGTCCATTAAACCTCTTTCCTTTATAAATTACCCAGTCTTAGGTATGTCCTTATTAGCAGAATGAGAATGGACTAATACAATTTTATATTTTACATTTTTCTTAGCTAAGTCCAAAGGCATACTAGTATACACTCCCTATCTTTTTATTTTAACAAACGTTTCTGGTTAGAGCTCCTTAGTGGTAAGGAGTCCAGTTAGTGTTACTAATTTTAGTTTTCTTGATCCCAAGCTGGAGCGTGGATTCCTATTCCTGTCTATCAGGATAGATTTAAAATGTTAGCTTTTATTATGTATAAGTACAATCAATTAACATTATTGGTGACCTAATGCCAAACTCAAATTTTTGTTAGCACTTTTACTTTATTGAATGTTCATATTTAGGCTTTGATCAGCACATGTATTGAATGGTATCTCTTATCTGTGCATAAATCTAAAGAGACATGAACTATTTTTTCATTCACACAATGCCTACTAACATGCTATATATTTGTGTTTTAATTATTTGTACATTTTTCTTTTTTCCTCTTGTTTGGCATTTATAGCAAGAATTTCACATGAGAAGGATACTTGATACTTGGGAATATTTGATTCTGTGGTAAGATGGAATTGAGGAAGTAATCTACGCCCCCAAAAAAGGGTGTTTGTTGGATAAAGGTTTTTTTTCTAATTCTTAAGTCAAAAGCTTCATAGTATAATGAATTGAATCAAGATTTACTTTCTTTTTGAATGTCATTTTGTGACGATTCATGAATGAGCAATTTGAACTAGAAAGTTACGGCCAAAACACCAAAAATCCTTCCAGGAATCTATCATGATGTTTATTTGTTGAAAGAGCTCATCTCCAGATTTGCCCATCTTGCTGCCACCCTCAGAAGGTAGATTGGTTAGACTGGTGAGTCAGTAGAATGCTAGGCAAAGGTAATTCTGCTTCACAATAAAAAAGAAATAAAGACATCAAATCATAAGCATAAGTTAAATAATATTTACTCTCCTATTCGGTTCTGTAGTTTTCTAGTGAATGATTTTAGGCTTATATTTTCCCTGAAATTGGTGCTTGTGGGCTTCAAAAATATAATCAACTGCTAAAAAGAAGAATTACAAAGTTGGATCTGATATGTTAACACTCAACTGATAAATAGTCCCAAAATTCTGTGGTATGATAACATCAGAAATTGAGGAATTCCAAAATAACCAAATCATGCCTTATATGTTATTTCAGTAAATTGGAACACACAGGGTGGGCAGGTTTCTCTTTCTCCACAGGGCATTTGTGATAGTCAAAGAATGTAGGGTGGGCCAAGGAGGAGTAGATTCTCTTTCTGGCTCTGCCACTGGCTTTTTCCTGCTAGGGACAGTGGTAATTTAAAAATCAATTTCACTCATGTGAATAAAAGTTAAAACACGTACGAAAAAAGCATTACCCAGGAGCATGTCGAGGTAGTGGCTCCAACCAAAGCAAGAAATCCAGAGCTGAAGGAAAGACACCAGAACTGGGAAGATAAAGACAGAGATCATTGAAGCAGATGTGAGAGGAGCTGGCCTGTGCAAATTGTGCAAAATAAATTCCCGAACTATTCGGCCACGACTCACATAGTCTCAAAGTGAAGAAGAGTGGATAGCATGTGTGCTTTGGAGGAGTAATAGGGCAGGAATGAACTCAAGAATGAAGATAGGGTTAAAAAAAGGGGCAAAAAAAAAAAAAAGAGAAAGGAATGGAGAAGAATGGGTGGATAAAGAAATTGTACCCACTTCAGTGGGCAGCAGCCCCTGTGGACGTGCCAAGCCGGTTGTAATGGCTGTAGTGGGGGCTGATACCCCAATGAGGGCAACTGAGGCAGAGGAGGAGTCCCAGGAGGGGAAAAGAACCAATAGACCTTCTGGCACTGACGTCTTTAAGTCCCATAATACTGGACTGGAAAATAGTAGCTAATATTACAGTTCAAATGAAATAGCACATGTACAAGCATTTTGTAAAGCCCGAGCCCAGTAAAATATCTGGGGCAGGGGGCCATGGAGGAGAAGGAATGTGGCCTTCAGGTCAGACAGACTTAAGTTCAAATCCTGCCTACTTTTGCAAGACTTTAGACTAGTTACCTAATTTCCCTGGCATCTTTCCCCTAATACAAATAGCAACAACAACAAGTCACATGGTTAAAATATCTAGTAAATTCTTTCAATACATATCTAAATCATATTTAAATTATTTTCCCATTAAATGAGTGAAATGTACTTTCCAAAATATTACCAAACTGCTCAAATAGAGATCATCTGGAAGGGAGGCCAGTGATGGTTGGTCTGAGTTCATGGGTGACCGAGGGGCCATAATTACTCCAAACACCTTCTTTGCCAAGCCCAGCCAAAAGTAAGGCTATGCTGGAAAGCCTCCTTCCTTTCTTACCTGGGACCAGGTAATAGTTGAGGGTAGGGGGAGATGCTTGGTTAGCCTGAGGGATAGGAGGGACTCTGAAAGGATCCCCCTATCCTCAGACCACGGAGGTAAGCCAGAATTTGTATCCCCTCGCCATCCACAATGTCTCTCCTAGGGTCACAACAGATGCCACAAGAGGATCCCATCCTCCTTATGTTCCATTTTCCTAGGTGACTTCCACCTGTTCTCAAGGACAAGAAGTGTATTGTTGGCCTTGGATGTTCTATCTCTGATATAAGCAGAAGCAGACTAAAAAAATGCAAAGAATTTATGAATTGCGGCATATAAAGATTTGCATTCTCTGATTTTATGTTGAATGCCAGGATTGCCTTGGCATTGGGGTTGAGCATGTTTTCTCTGCCACAAGGTTTATGGGTTGAGATCTCAGCTGTGGGACCAGTAACATGGCCTCTCAACTTCCTGGTGCAGGAGTGTGAATGACAGATGGTCAGCTGCTTGGGATCCACCACCACATCAATTTCTGGGCCACCCTTTCCATGGGCTGCCCCAGGCAATGCTGAGCAGGGAGAGATACTCAGGCAGGCCCATTTCTGCAAGATGTGGGGCTCCTCATATGGGCTACTTTAGCTCAAGGACTTCCCATGAGCCTTGCCAAAATTTTCTAGAACTGCACCAGAGACTAAGAAATTTCCTACCCAATCTTCCTTCCTTCCCTCTTTCCTCCATAGGGTCAGACCAGCGTTATGGCCTGAGTCTCTCTCAGTTAGGCTCCTGCAACTTCCTCACCAAATTTTCAACATAGATCAATACCATAAATCTCTTGCACATATATTCTTGTCTTGGCATCTGCTTCTTGGAGGACCTGAACTAACACAACAATTCTGCCATTTACTAGCTGTGTTACCTTGGGCATCTAATATGACTTTGCCTTAGTCATTCACCTGTTAAATGGAAGTAATAATAATGTCCATCTTATAGGAGTGTTGTGAGTTTAATGTCTCCCTCAACCTTAGCAAAATATTTAGTACAGGTTAGATGCTGAATACATACTTACTGGATGATCTTAAAAAATAAAAGAAGATCAAGATAATCAATTTAAATGGATAAACTGATGAGATGATGTAAAATACTCTAGGTTAAATTGTAAGTTGATATGAAATTGAGCTAAACCAGCCAATCCTTGGCACAAACTTATTATCTGCAATCTATGTTTTACATCATTCCATAGGCTTTTTTATCAAGCAAGGAGGCTAGAAAAGCAAAACCACAACTACAGTCATTATTCAGGGACACTTATACATCCCTCCGGATCAAGAGTCAGTTATGACACTGCAGTTTATTTTTTCACTTCCCTTCCTTAGTTATTTTGAAATTACTACTGTCTTGTGAGCTGAAATTAACATCCATTTATTCTTGTACTTGTTTTCCTTGACGGTGATGTGCTGATTCTCCCTCTTCCAGGGTTGATTCATTTCTTTTTCACTTTGTCTGCATAAATTTGGCTTTTTCAGTAGTTGTACTTTGAAATTCTCATTCTCTTAACACATTGTTGTCAACTTGGAGATTTCCCTTTGATCCATTTTCTCAAACCATTTTTCTTCTATGAAACTTACACTGCAAGCAATATCTCATGATCAAACTATACACTATCATCCTACTTTATACCTTCGATATGCACTTTAATAGACTTGTTTTCATTTTGAAAATGACATGCTGATGCAGCAACAATTTGATAATGCACTGTGTCATATACACAGTAATTTACTTCAGGATCACTGTAGCTGTTGAAAGGTTTTATCTTTTTCTATATATTTTCAGCTTTAAGAGAACTGCTAAAGTGGCTGCATTGAAATGGAAAGATAGAGCTCCATTCCAAGACGGCCGAAGAGGAACAGTTCTGGTCCGCAGCACCCAGTGTGATCGATGCAGAAGATGGATGATTTCTGCATTTCCAACTGAAGTACCTGGTTCATCGCACTGGGACTGATTGGACAGTGGGTGCAGCCCATGGAGGGTGAGCTGAAGTAGGGCAGGCGTTGCCTCACCTGGGAAGTGCAAGGGGTCAGGGGATTTCCCTTTCCTAGCCAAGGGAAGCCGTGACAGACTGTACCTGGAAAAATAGGACACTTCTGACCAAATACTGCACTTTTCCCAAGGTCTTAGCAACCGGCAGACAAGGAGAACCTTTCCCATGCCTGGCTTGGAGGGTCCCATGCCCATGGAGCCTTGCTCACTGCTAGCGCAGCAGTCTGAGATCAAACTGCAAGGCAGCAGCCTGGCTGTGGGTGGGGTGTCCACCATTGCTGAGGCTTGAGTAGGTAAACGAAGTGGCCAGGAAGCTCGAACTGGGTAGAGCCCACCACAGCTCAGCAAGGCCTACTGCCTCTATAGACTCCACCTCTGTGGGCAGGGCATAGCTCAAGAAAAGGCAGCAGACAACTTCTGCAGACTTAAACATCCCTGTCTGACAGCTCTGAAGAGAGCAGTGGTTCTCCCAGCACAGTGTTTGAGCTCTGAGAATGGACAGACTGCCTCCTCAAGTGGGTCCCTGACCCCTGTGTAGCCTAACTGGGAGACACCTCCCAGTATGGGCCGACAGACACCTCATATAGGCAGGCACCCCTCTGGGATGAAGCTCCCAGAGGAAGGATCATGCAGCAATATTTGTTGTTCTGCAATATTTGCTGTTTTGCAGCCTCTGCTGGTGATACCCAAGAAAACAGGGTCTGGAGTGGACCACCAGCAAACTCCAACAGAACTGCAGCTGAGGGACCTGACTATTAGACGGAAAACTAACAAACAGAAAGGAATAGCATCAACATCAACAAAAAGGATATCCACACCAAAACCCCATCTGTAGGTCACCATCACATAGACCAAAGGTAGATAAAACCACAAAGATGGGGAGAAACCAGAGCAGAAAAACCGAAAATTCTAAAAATCAGAGCACCTCTTCTCCTCCAAAAGATTGCAGCTCCTTGCCAGCAACAGAACAAAGCTGGACAGAGAATGACATTGACAAGCTGACAGAAGTAGGCTTCAGAAGGTTGATAATAACAAACTTCTGAGCTAAAGGAGCATGTTCTAACACATTGCAAGGAAGTTAAAAACCTTGAAAAAAGGCTAGACGAATGGCTAACTATAATAAACAGTGTGGAGAAAACCTTGAATGACCTGATGGAGCTGAAAACCATGGCACGCGAACTTTGTGATGCATGCACAATCTTCAACAGCTGATTCGATCAAGTAGAAGAAAGGTTATTAGTGACTGAAGATCAAATTAATGAAATAAAGTGAGATGACAAGGTTAGAGAAAAGAGAGTAAAAAGAAATGAAGAAAGCCTCCAAGAAACATGGGACTATGTGAAAAGACCAAATCTACGTTTGATTGGTGTACCTAAAAGTAATGGGGAGAATACAACCAAGTTGGAAAACACTCTTCAGGATATTATCCAGGAGAACTTCCCCAACCTAGCAAGGCAGGTCAACATTCAAATTCAGGAAATACAGAGAACATCACAAAGATACTCCTCAAGAAGAGCCACTCCAAGGTACATAACCGTCAGATTCACCAAGGTTGAAATGAAATAAAAAATATTAAGGGCAGCCAGAAAGAAAGGTCGGGTTACCCACAAAGGGAAGCCCATCAGACAAACAGCGGATCTCTCAGCAGAAACCCAAAAGCCAGAAGAGAGTTGGGGTCAATATTCAACGTTCTTAAAGAAAAGAATTTTCAACCCAGAATTTCATATCCAGCCAAAATAAGCTTCATAAGTGAAGCAGAAATAAAATCCTTTACACACAAGCAAATGCTGAGAGATTTTGTCACCACCAGGCCTGCCCTACAAGAGCTCCTGAAGGAAGCACTAAACATGGAAAGAAACAACCGGTATCATCCACTACAAAAACATGCCAAGTGGTAAAGACCATCGATGCTGTGAAGAAACTGCATCAATTAATGAGCAAAATAAACAGCTAACATAATAATGAGAGGGTCAAATTCACACATAACAATATTAACCTTAAATGTAAATGGGCTAAAAGCCCCAGTTAAAAGACACATATTGGCAAATTGGATAAAGAGTCAAGACCTATCAGCGTGCTGTATTCAGGAGACCCATCTCACATGCAAAGACGTACATAGGCTCAAAATAAAGGGATGGAGGAAGATCTACCAAGCAAATGGAAAGCAAAACAACAACAACAACAAAAAACAAAAAAAAAACAGGGGTTGCAATCCTAGTCTCTGATAAAACAGACTTTAAACCAACAAAGATCAAAAGAGGCAAAGAAGGCCATTTCATAATGGTAAAGGGAGCAATTCAAAAAGAAGAGCTAACTATCCGAAATATATACGCACCCAACCAAAACAGGAGCACCCAGATTCACAAAGCAAGTCCTTAGAGACCTACAAGGAGACTTATACTCCCACACAATAATAATGGGAGACTTTAACACCCTACTGTCAATATTAGACAGATCAATGAGACAGAAGGTTAACAAGGATATCCAGGACTTGAACTCAGCTCTGCATTAAGCAGACTTAATAGACATCTACAGAACTCTCCTCCCCAAATCAACAGAATACACATTTTTCTCAGCACCACATCACACTTATTCTAAAAATGACCACAAAATTGGAAGTAAAACACTCCTCAGCAAATAGAAAAGAACAGAAATGACAACAGTCTCTCAGACCACAGTGCAATCAATTTAGAACTCAGCATTAAGAAACTCATTCAAAATCACACAACTACATGGAAACTGAACAACCTGCTCCTGAATGACTACTGGGTACATGACGAAATGAAGGCAGAAATAAAGATGTTCTTTGAAACCAATGAGAACAAAGACACAACGTACCAGAATCTCTGGGACACATTTAAAGCAGTGTATAGAGGGAAATTTATAGCACTAAATGCCCACAAGAGAAAGCAGGAAAGATCTAAAATCGACATCCTAACATCACAATTAAAAGAACTAGAGAAGCAAGAGCAAACACATTCAAAAGCTAGCAGAAGGCAAGAAATAACTAAGATCAGAGCAGAACTGAAAGAGATAGAGACACAAAAAAACCCTTCAAAAAATCAATGAAACCAGGAGCTGGTTTTTTGAAAAGATCAACAAAATTGATAGACCACTAGCAAGACTAATGAAAACAGAGAAGAATCAAATAGATGCAATAAAAAATTATAAAGGGGATATCACCACCGATCCCACAGAAATAAAAACTATCATTAGCGAATACTATAAACACTTCTACGCAAATAAACTAGAAAATCTAGAAGAAATGGATAGATTCCTGGACACATACACCCTCCCAACACTAAACCAGGAAGAAATTGAATCTCTCAATAGACCAATAACAGGCTCTGAAATTGAGGCAATAATTAATAGCCTACCAATCAAAAAAAGTCCAGAACCAGACAGATTCACAGCCGAATTCTACCAGAGGTACAAAGAGGAGCTGGTATCATTCCTTCTGAAACTATTCCAATCAATAGAAAAAGAAGGAATCCTCCCTAACTCACTTTATGAGGCCAACATGATCCTGATACCGAAGGCTGGCAGAGAGACAACAAAAAAAGAGAATTTTAGACCAATATCCCTGGTAAGCATCGATGGGGAAATCTTCAATAAAATACTGGCAAACCGAATCCAGCAGCATATCAAAAAGCTTATCCACCATGATCAAGTCAGCTTCATCCCTGGGATGCAAGGCTGGTTCAACATATGCAAATCAATAAATGTAATCCATCACATAAACAGAATCAATGACAAAAAACACATGATAATCTCAATAGATGCAGAAAAGGCCTTTGACAAAATTCAACAGCCCTTCCTGCTAAAAACTCCCAATAAGCTAGGTATTGATGGAACGTATCTCAAAATAATAAGAGCTATTTATGACAAACCCACAGCCAATATCATACTGAATGGGCAAAAACTGGAAGCATTCCCTTTGAAAACTGGCACAAGACAAGGATGTCTTCTCTCATCACTCCTATTCAACATAGTGTTGGGAATTATGGCCAGGGCAATCAGGCAGGAGAAAGAAATAAAGGGCATTCAATTAGGAAAAGAGGAAGTCAAATTGTCCCTGTTTGCAGATGACATGATTGTATATTTAGAAAACCCTATCGTCTCAGCCCCAAATCTCCTTAAGCTGATAAGCAACTTCAGCAAAGTCTCAGGATACAAAATCAATGTGCAAAAATCAAGCATTCCTATACACCAATAACAGACAAACAGAGAGCCAAATCATGAGTGAACTCCCATTCACAATTGCTTCAAAGAAAATAAAATACCCAGGAATCCAACTTACAAGGGATGTGAAGGACCTCTTCAAGGAGAACTACAAAACACTGCTCAATGAAATAAAAGAGGACACAAACAAATGGAAGAACATTCCATGCTCATGGATAGGAAGAATCAATATCATGAAAATGGCCATACTGCCCAAGGTAATTTACAGATTCAATGCCATCCCCATCAAGCTACCAATGACTTTCTTCACAGAATTGGAAAAAACTACTTTAAAGTTCATATGGAAGCAAAAAAGACCCCTCATTGCCAAGAAAATCCTAAGCCAAAAGACCAAAACTGGAGGCATCATGCTACCTGACTTCAAACTATACTACAAGGCTACAGTAACCAAAACAGCATGGTATTGGTGCCAAAACAGATATATAGACCAATGGAACAGAACAGAGGCATCAGAAATAACACCACACATCTATAACCATTGGATCTTTGACAAACCTGACAAAAACAAGAAATGGGGAAAGGATTCCCTATTTAATAAATGGTGCTGGGAAAACTGGCTAGCCATATGTAGAAAGCTGAAACTGGATCCTTTCTTTACATCATATACAAAAATTAATTCAAGATGGATTAAAGACTTAAATGTTAGACCTGAAACCATAAAAACCCCAGAAGAAAACCTAGGCAATACCATTCAGGACATAGGCATGGGCAAGGACTTCATGTCTAAAACACCAAAAGCAATGGCAACAAAAGCCAAAATAGACAAATCAGATGTGATTAAACCAAAGAGCTTCTGCATGGCAAAAGAAACTATCATTGGAGTGAACAGGCAACCTACAGAATGGGAGAAAATTTTTGCAATCTACCCATCTGACAAAGGGCTAATATCCAGAATCTACGAAGAACTGAAACAAATTTACAAGAAAAAAAACAACCCCATCAAAAAGCGGGCAAAGGATATTAACAGACACTTCTCAAAACAAGATATTTCTGCAGCCAACAGACACATGAAAAAATGCTCATCATCACTGACCATCAGAGAAATGCAAATCAAAACTACAATGAGATACCATCTCACACCAGTTAGAATGGTGATCATTAAAAAGTCAGGAAACAACAGATGCTGGAAAGGATGTGGAGAAATAGAAATGCTTTTACACTGTTGGTGGGAGTCTAAATTAGTTCAACCATTGTGGAAGACAGTGCGGTAATTCCTTAAGGATCTAGAACTAGAAATACCATTTAACCCAGTGATCCCATTACTGGGTATATACCAAAAGGATTATAAATCATGCTCCTGTAAAGACACATGCACACGTATGTTTATTGTGGCACTCTTCACAATAGCAGAGACTTGGAACCAACCCAAATGTCCATCAATGATAGATTGGATTAAGAAAATATGGCATATATACCCCATGGAATACTACGCAGTCATAAAAAAGGATGAGTTCATGTTCTTTGCAGGGCCGTGGAGAAGCTGGAAACCATCATTCTCAGCAAACTATCACAAGGACAGAAAACCAAACACCACATGTTCTCACTTATAGGTGGGAAATGAACAATGAGAACACTTGGACACAGGGCAGGGAACATCACACACTGGGGCCTGTCAGGGAGTGGGGGCCTGGGGGAGGAATAGCATTAGGAGAAATACCTAAAATAAATGACGAGTTGATGGGTGGAGCAAACCAACATGGCATATGTATACCTCTGTATCAAACCTGCACGTTGTGAACATGTACCCTAGAACTTAAAATATATATATATAAAAATATAAAAGAAATGGAAAGATACTTTGCTTCCCTTATAAACGGTTAATTTCTTGGATAATACCTTTGGAAATCAGTTTGTATCTTTAGTGTTGTGAATAACTTGAGCTTGAATTCCTAGAGGTAGCTATATCATATACAATCAGTGGTTTGAGGAATACTCCAAATGACAGTAATAAGACATGTATTTTTTAAAGTTCACTTCCTTTTATCATTTTGGTAACAAATACCTTTTTACAAGGTACAATGACAAAACAATCATATGTGTGTGTATGTGTATATGTGTGTGTGTGTATATATGTATATATATATGAGTGGTCTCAGACATACTGGCCAAAGCTGAGTGCTAATGTAAGGGGTCCCAGTTATAAAGATTTTAAGCTGAAGAACCTCAACCCTAGGAAGTTCTCCTATTAGATTTTCTCCCGACTGCCCTCTTTAGTCACACAGATGCAATAAAGAAGTACATTATAGGACATTATAACAAATTGTAAATTGTTAGTATGCATTATTATGCACACGAAAGATGCATGTTATAGGAAATTTATTCTGTGATTTCGGATGGTCTTGGATACGACACAAGCCAAATAGAATGCTTGGAGGAGTACGGGGGAATGGTTGAAATTGATGCAAATGACTAGTGATTTGAAATTGGTGCTTATATTTTCAAGTTTTCCTAGTTGCATTTTAAACCTCTAATGCTGTAATCACAGTTATGTGTCAGGCATTTTATAACCCATGGTTTGTCGGGCTATTATCTTTTTTGATGATGGACAGGCCAAAAGGATGTGGTCGGTTTTCAAAGCTTCCTTGAAGTGGTTTGCTGGAATACTGTTTCATCGGTGATTAGATTATAGCTGCATTACCACAAAATACCATATTGGCTAACTAACTCCTATCCTTCGTGTCTTAATTTTTTTTTTTTTTTTTTTTTTTTGTGAGATGGAGTTTCACTCTATTGCCCAAGTTGGAGTGCAATGGCACGATCCTGGCTCACTGCAACTTCTGCCTCCTGGGTTCGAACAATTCTTCCACCTTAGCCTCCCGAGTACACCACCATGCCCAGGTAATTTTTATATTTTTATTAGACATGGGGTTTTACCATGTTGCCCAGGCTGCTCTCGAACTCCTGACCTCAAGCGATCCTCATGCCTCAGCCTCCCAAAGTGCTGGGATTACAGCCATGAGCCACCACACTTGGTAATGTCTTAATTTATATGCCACTTTAAGGATATTTATTTTGGGCCCTTTAGATTAGGCTAGGTGTCCCAGCGTTGCCTTCTCTTAGTACTTGGGAATCTTCCTTTCATTGCATTAATGATTCTATAATGCAATGGCTGTTTTAAATTCTTTTCTCTTCTAATTGGATTGCAAACTTTGTGAGATTGGTGGTTGCCTAAATCTGGTTCAATTTGTGTCATCATCAGTCTTTAGGACAAAGTTGGTATGTGGTAAATACTCAATGGATGTGTTGGATGCCTGTGTAACTGAACAGCCATGGAGATTTATCTGCATTTATTTTGCATTTATTTATGCATAATTTCTCTGTCCTTTGTGTTATGAGGCATTTATAAGCATGGGCTAGGTCTTATTTATCTCTACAGCTCTATTACACTAATATAATGATTCATACACAGTGGAAGTTCAAGTATCTGCTGAAAGCATGGTCTGATGGCTCAATAACCACCATTATGTTGGAAAGGCAATGGGCTAGGTTCCAAGGGACCATATTTGTATTCCTGCTTTGACAGAAACTGCTTGTGCTTTGGGAGTAGAAGCTTAGTTCTTTCTCACAGTAGACTGCTCTTTTCATCAGATGAGGTGAAAATCCTTATCACAAACAGAAGTGTGGTTGACATAGAAAGGAACACCTACAAGAAAAGCAGCTGGGGTGATATTAAGAGTTCAATTTAGTAGACTAGTGAAAAAAAGCTGTAATTGTTTTTATCCACTTGAGGAAAAGCTACAGGAAAGCAAACAGTGGGTCAGTATCTTTCATTCCAAGTTGTCACCTGAAATCCCTTTGTCATCATCTTAAAGATAGTTTGATAGGAGAGATAACACATAGCACTTTAATTCAGGCTGGACAATATATGAACCCTGTATTGTTGCATAGAGTTTCCAAATATTGTATTAGTGCATTTTCACACTGCCATGAATGACCTGAGACTCGGTAATTTATAAAGAAAGAGGTTTAGTTGACTCCCAGTTCCTCATGGCTGAGGAGGCATCAGGAAATTTACAGTCATGGCAGAAGTAGAAGGGGAATCAAGGCATGTCTTACATGGTGGCAGGAAAGAGAGAGAGAGAGCAAGGAGGAAACTGCCAAACACTTTTTTTTTTTTTTGAGACAGAGTCTCACTCTGTTGCCTAGGCTGGAGTGCAGTGGTGTGATCTCGGCTCACCACAACCTCTGCCTCCTGGGTTCAAGTGATTCTCATGCCTCAGCTTCCCGAGTAGCTGGGATTATAGACACCCACCACCACACATGGCTAATTTTTTTTGTTGTTGTTGAGACGGAGTCTCACTCTGTTGCCCAGGTTGGAGTGCAGTGGTGTGTTCTCTGCTCACTGCAATCTCCACCTCCTTGGTCCAAACGATTCTTCTGCCTCAGCCTCCTGAACACTGGGATTACAGGCGCAGACCACCGTGCCCAGCTAATTTTTGTATTTTTAGTAGAGATGGGGTTTCAGCATGTTGTTCAGGCTGGTCTCAAACTCCTGACCTCAGGTGATCTGCCCACCTTGGCCTTCCAAAGTGTTGAGATTACAGGCATGAGCCACTGCACCCAGTCTCCAAATCCCTTCAAAGTATTAGATTTTGTGAGAACTCACTCACCATCCTGAGAACAGCATGGGGGAAACCGCCCCCATGACCCAATCACCTCCCACCAGGTCCCTCCCTTGACACATGGAAATTACAATTCAGGATGAGGTTTGGGTGTGGACACAGAGCCAAACCATACGAAATATTAAAGCCACCTTTTTTATTGCCAGTTTGCAATATCAGTATATCTATCTTAATATTGCATATATACATATTTATGAGAGACAGATAAGTAAGACCTAAATCATCTATTGTACAAAATTCATTTCTTAATGGATAATGATACTATAACCAATTCTGTGGGCAATATTTGCCATCTGCTTTATTTCTTTTACTTTTGTAAATTTTATTCAAAGTTACTTTGCTCTTGAGAAGAAGCCCCATTGTACTAACACATTCTTTGAAATGAATCATCAAGTCAAGAGATGAGATTGAAAGAGGTTAGACTTTACCACAGGGACTCCCATAATTAAGATGGATATTAAGAGTGATAGCAAGATAATATCTGAACTCTAGTAATATTTAAAATAAACTGACATTGAGGAAAACTGTCTTAAAATATGTTAACTCTCTGGTTTTCAAATAGCTCCTTGGAAAAAATAAATACTACCTTCTTGTGAGACAGCTTACAAACTTGCATTATTAGCTGCACTGCAGAAAATATGACATGTTTTTTTTTTTTTTTTTTGGTCTTGATCTTGTCAGCACATCATTAATTTGCTATTAAACTACCTGCTTTACAGAGTTTATTTTGTAGCACGGCATGGCTTTTTTCTCTCCTTGGTGATCTCATGAGATGACAAATTACTATGTAACATAACAGATGACTAGAACTTGGCAGATATGATATTTCTGTTGTTTTCCCTGCTTCCATTGAGATGCTGTCGATCCCTAACAGCATTATAAACAGATGGCTAATTGTTACGAAGCTATGTATTGTTAATGCTGAAACTTCCCTACTTCTTGGTAACATATGCTTGAAAAAATCATCTTAGGGCATTTATAAGGATAATGCAAACCCAGGACTAGTTCTTGAGAAGCGGGAGGACATTCTGAGTTATCTGTGAACTTACATCTTATATTCGCTTAAGGATAGAACTTTGGTTTCCTAAGAGATAAGAGGAGTTCTGACATAGCCTTATATAGAAGTTTCCCAGGGTTGCCGAAACAAATTACCATAAACTGGGTAGCTTCAAACAAAATAACTTAATTTTCTCACAGTTCTGGAGACTAAAAGTCCAAAATGCAGGTGCCAGCAGGGCTGTGCTCTCTCTCTGAAGTCTCTAGGGGAGAATATTTCCATGCATCTTACTAGTTCCTGGTAGTTGCCAGCAATCCTTAATTCCTCTTGGCTTGTACACGTAGCTTTTAGACTCTAACTTTGTCCTCACCTGGCGCCCTCCCTGTGTGGCTATGTCTACATGTCTTTCTTATGAGGATACCAGTCATTGAATTAGGGCCCACTTTACTTCAGTATGACCTCATCCGAACTTGATTACATCTGCAACTCCCAAATAAGGTCACATTCACAGATTCCAGGAGTTAAGAATTCAACCTATCTTCTTTGGCAGTGACACAATTCAATCTACATACCAGGAACTTATTAAACAACATCTCAATAACATTCAGTTTTCTTCTTAGTGGAGCTCTTTTGCTCTAAGAAAACAGAAGCTTTAGCACTGGAAAGCTTTATTTCCATGTTGAAAGTATTTTCATTTTGATTAGGCCGGGCGCAGTGGCTTACGCCTGTCATCCCAGCACTTTGGGAGGCCGAGGCAGGCGGATCACCTGAGGTCAGGAATTGGAGACCAGCCTGGCCAGTATGATGAAACCCTGTCTCTACTAAGAATACAAAAGTTAGCTGGGCATGGTGGCAGGCGCCTGTCATCCCAGATACTCAGGAGGCTGAGGCAGAGAATTGCTTGCACCCAGGAGGTGGAGGTTGCAGTAAGCCAAGATCACGCCACTGCACTCTAGCCTGGGCAACAGAGTGAGACTCCATCTCAAAAAAGAAAAAAAGAGTATTTTCATTTTGATTAACGTCCAGTCCTTGTCCTTGAAAGTAATACCTCATCCAGTTCAACATACTTGGGTCTGAAATGAGTGCAAAGCTGATAGTTTTAAAAAGATCGTACTGTGTAGTTAGAACTGGAAAGGCTTCACAGAGTCCAGTCTCTGAAGGGAATTGATATTGTCCATGTTCTTGCTGTGACTCACACTATTTTAACAATAGGTACATAATTACTTGCAGCCGAGGCAAATCACTGTTGCTTGAATGTAATTTGTATTAGAGATGTATATTCATATTAGAGATTTACGAATTTTTCTAGTGCTCTATCTGGCTTTATTGATATTTTGTTGTGTCAGAGTTTTATTTCTGAACTTTAGCTTCTAAGTGGTAAATGGGCTGTACTTCTTAGAGGCAAATATTCCCATCAGTGCTTAGGAGGCCTGTTCTCAATCAGCATCAAGAATCAACCGAAAGCAGGACTTCCTCTGACGCCAAGTTCTTGGCCATTTGTTGTCTTGAAAATCCTGACATTACAAAACCAACTCAACAATTTAGTTTTAATATTTATCAGGTTTATTTTGATGATGAACCTGATTAGTGCCAATTGGTGAGATTTTAGAGTCACATTCATACTAGCTTTATAAGAAGTGCAAATTTTTTTCAAATTGAGTGAATAGCATTTGAAAACTTTTGCCAACAGCCATGTAATATGTAGATATTTAGATGCTCAAATAGCCTTGGAGGAGAACAGAGAAAACCCATTTTAAAAGACTGAATTTCAAATGTAGTAAAACAACTAACATTAACATACATCTTGCACGGAGACAAATGTAAGAATTCCATGTGTTAGAAAAATAACTACTTAATTTGGTTTATGTCAAAAAATACAGGAAACATCCTGATTAACCTTTACATAATTTTATTTTGGCTACCGACTTTATTTTAATTAAACTAACCAAGATAAAAAGTTCTGACAAATATACCAAAACATTTAGTTTACAACAACAACTTTGAAAACACAGCCTGGGTTATGGTTATCATTCTGGCCTAATGTTACCAATAAAGTCTGTCATCTTCTTTGTCCCAGCCTCTGTCTCTCCCTTTCCTGCCTTTCATCACATTTATGTCTGGCTGTGACAAACTTTCCTGGGGAACCCTGAAAAATGGACTGATTCTGTCTCTTGAGACAGATTTCCTTGGGTGAGGGGTACACTCAAATCTGTAGACTTTTAAGGAAGATCTGGATTTTCAAATATTACTGACAAATATTTTCCAAAACCTAACCACCCCACTCCCCCCAAAATTTCCTGAGTTTTATTATTCCTGGAATTTTAGCTGTTCTGTATGATTACTCCTTTAACAGAAATATTTTCCCTTGGCTATTGCCTGATAAGAAATTAAATTCCAAACTTTCTTTCTAATTTTTGACTTATACGAACAAAATGTTTCTAGAGCAGAAAAAAAAAAAAAGCCAAACTAATTCTAACATAATTACGGCACTCTTTGTGTCAACAGATAAGTATTGGGCGCTTGAAACATGCAAAGCCTTGCCTCAAGTACTGCACACAGGCTATCTTTGGTACCATTTTCTCTCTTTCCCTGCCTTCGAACATAGAGGAGGATTCGTGTGCAAGTTATGAGGAGGGTGTTTCGGCATTTCCCCGTCCACATTTATTCATTCTATTTTTTCATGAGAAGGGTGAGTTATGATATGAGAAGGGCGATTAGTGAGATAGGAAAAGTGCCAGGGCACACATGAGTCCGCTGCTTGGCCAATTTCTTTTCTTCAAGTTCTCCTTAGTAGCTGAAAATGCTCATGTAGTGAGTCTGGCCTGGGCTCTGGGCCTTATTTTATGCTCGAGACTAGAAAGGTGATTCCAAAATGCAGCCAAGGTCTAGAACTATGGCTGAACAAGAAACCCTATATGGGCTCCAGGAGGCAGCAGGGTCGGCCGGTTGAAGAACTGAGAAATGTACCTGTTTCTGCGTTGGGTTAGCAAGAAAAAGCATTTATCTTGGTGATCCAGGTGGTCTCCTCGACCTCAAACTAATCAAGCAGAGCTCTGTTCTTGGGCAGAAAAACCAATTCTTTATTGAGTCAGGAGAGGTTCTCCCAGGGAGTTTAGACTGGGGACACAGTTTCACTTCTGTGGGTCCTTCATAGTCCATGTGGAAAGGGCAAGGCCTTTTACAAAAAATAGGTGTTCAAATCGACATGGGCAGAACATCTTTTTAGACACCAGAGAGCCAACCTTCAATGTTGCCTCCACCAGAAATGGGAGTATAAGTTTTTTGCAGGGCTGGGCATTAGTAGATGTTTCATCTTTAATATATATTTTTTCTCACCTAGGATTAAGGAATGGCTACCCAGGGAAAGCTGAATTATGTTGCAATAGGAAAATAGAGAGTAAAAGAGAGTTTTACACTGCAGATTTATTTATTTATTTGTTTTGCAATTGTACTTATTTTTTTTTTAGTAGAGACCGGGTTTTACCATGTTGGCCAGACTGGTCTCAAACTCCTGATCTCACGTGATCTGTCCACTTTGGCCTCCCAAAGTGCTGGGATTATAGGTGTGAGCCACCATGCCGAGCCTACACTGTAATTTTAATAGTTAATGTTAATCAAAGCCTAGAGAAGTAACAGCTTTTAATAAACAAGAGTAGGAGAAGAAGCATCCAGGTAAGATGACACTCAGAGCTCAGTAATCCTAGGTCTGAGAAGAAACAAACACCTGGCAATGTAAGTAACTTCTTGGTGGGAGATTTCTTCCACTTAAGTTCAGGCTCAGAAGTCATGCAGAGACACAAACTGGCCCAGACCAGTTGGCTTCCTGGGAGTCAGAAGGTTTTCTCCTTCTCCCCCTTCATTAGTTTGTTCTTCTTCCCCTAGATACAATGAAATCTCCACCATGACTTTTACACACCAACTAGAGGGTGAATCTACATCACACTCTAGTAGAGTGAGTCTAATAGAAATACAATGTGAGCCGCATATGTAATTAAACATTTTCTAGTAATCGTGTTAAAGAAGTAAAAAGAAACAGATGAATTTTTAAAAGTCAATTTTCGTGTTTTATTTAATCCTGTATATCCAAAATACAATTCTTTCAACATGTAAACAATTATAAATGGGCTATTTTATATTCTCTTTCTTGGGCGGTGTCTTCAAAATTCTTATGTATTTTGTACTGAGAGCATATCTCAATTTGGCCTTTTCATTTTAATGGAATTAATTATTCTAATTAGAAATAACTAATTTATACTTAGGTTCCATGTAGCTTATGGTTGAAAAAGTAGATGCACATACCTGAAATTGTTTCAAGTAGACTTCAAAGTCTTCCAATAGTGAATTGAGAATCAGTTTTTAAATATAATTTTAAATTAATTAAAACACAATGAAAATTCAATTCCTCTGTCACAGTAGCCATATTACGAGTGCTCAACAGTCACATGTGGCTAGGAACCACTGTGCTGGATGATGCAGGGCTAGACTGCACTATATATCTGGTTCTGAGAACATAACCTTGAAGTAGGGGCTGGGGAGTTTTATATTTTCTAAATGTTGTGGGTATGCAGTTGATACTGTAATGACTTCATGTATCCTAGCCACTCTTTCAAAAAGTAGGGTTTGAAGGGCCTATGTCACAAGAGAAACACAGTCTGAGCTACTGTTTTGATTTCTGTCTGACACTTGCTTCCATCTCTTTTTCAGTTGGTTCAGCACTCAGAGTGCAGAAGGGGATGATGAATGATCAACTTCTAAATCCTTATGAAGTTAAAAAATATATACTTCTTTGCTTTCAAGAAGCTAGTAATCATTTCCAATAAGTCTGCTATTTCATTGCACATGAGCTTATATTGTTATTCTTCAAGGTGAAATAACGGCAACTCTTCTCTACCCATAGTCAACTTTCCCTCAGAAAGAGGAAGCACATTTTTATGTTATGAATCCTAGATAGAAGAATTAGCTGGTATAATGGCCGAATTGATGTGGAGGTAGGCACACAAGCTGTCAGCACATAAACATCTTGCACAGTGTGTACAACTGATCTAAACCACTGTTAACTTTCCACTAGCAACAAGCTTGAATTGTTCTCTCTGAATTTTGAACGCCATTTTTAAAAACCGTGAGATAATTTTTCTACAAGATAGTTTAGGTTTTCTAAAAGTAACTTCTAGTCTTACAATCTTTCTACACTAAGTCAAACTTTGCAACACTCATTCACTTTGCAGCATAAACATGCTTAAAAATGTTTTGAGTCTTAACAAAGCACTTTATATAAGCAAATGCCTAATCAGTGAAATTCTAAATTAACCATAAAAAAGAATGAGAAAAAATATCAAGAGATAAAGGTTAGTATTTATAGATCATCAATGCCAACCAACAGCTAATATAGCCTGTTAAATTTTATGGCAATGGTTCATCCAGAAATAATTGTGTTAGAGTTCAGATTATGAAATGACTGTGCCAACCCAAATTCTAGTGCTCACAGGGCAAAGCAGCTTAATTAGTGCCTTTTAAACAGAAATAACATATATAATCGAGCTTCTAATTTAGATTCCTCTCCTGTAGTATTTGTGAAAATTCAGAAAAGGGTTGTGTTGAAATTTACTTAGTGTAGGAGATAAATAAATAGGATTTTTAAAGCGGTAGTTAATCTACTCAAGAAAACCATTGTTAAAGATTTAAAACACATTACTTTCTACTAATGTACAAATGGGTTGTCTCTATGCTTTAAATCAGGCCGTTTAAGACATTTCCTTCGTAACAGTTCTAGCCATGTCTCTGAATTAGGTCTAGAATTGAATGCAATAAATCTGCACTTCTTTTAAAATACTACTTTGGTGATTTCTAATTCAGACTTGTCTCCTCCCCAATTAATCTTCACTAGTGAGTTATGATTGAATATAAATGGAGACTGTCAGTCTTGGATAGTGGTGGTGCTACTTAGATACTTCAGAAAATAAATGACATTAGGAGACAATGAATAGAAAGAAAAGGTGGGAGTAGCACAGCCTTACTGCCATCTGTGACTTAAAAAGACACTTTATTGACAAGCCCTTTCTTCCTGGAGAATTTAAATGTGACACATGAAGTACAATGTTCCTTCCATCTGTGGGCCAACTTTTAATGTTTCCCTGGTCCTACTTGAGCACTGGATTAAAGGGGTAGGAGTAAGTGGAGAAGAAAAAGAAAAGCAGAGAGAGGATGACAGCAGCAGATCCATAGTCTTACAAAATAATATCTTAAATGTCTAGGTTTCAACCAGCAGAGGATCCGTAGTCTCATAAAATAATATCTAAAATGTCTAGGTTTCAACCAAGAGTCACTCACAATGTCAAGGACCAGGAAGATCTCAAAGTGAATGAAAGAAAAAGAAAGAAAATCAATAGGTGTCAGCCGTGAGATGACAGAGATGTGAGAATTACCTGGTACAGATTTGAAATTAGCCATTCACTGAGCAATTACAAACATTCTTGCAATGAATGAAAACTAGAAAATGCAAAAAATGTAATCTTTAAGGAAGGCTTTGTATAGTCTACTCAATCTCAACATTAGAGTGTTAATTTTTTTATTTTAACGTATTTGAAATTTTGAATGGATCTGAAATTTTGTCAAGAGTCGACATTAAGACTTCTAGAGAAAGATGTGTAGCTATGGGTTTTGTCTCATCTAATCATGTTGCTAAGTCACTCGTAGATCAAGGAATCAGAACTTTTCAGAACATCTTAACATATTTTTGGAATGATACAGAAAACTTTTCATTCATACCTCCTCTGTAATTGTAGTTTGCAAAATAGGAAGAGTGGATGGAAAGAAATTCTTGGCAATAACAATTAAGGTTGTGGGGCTATAACTAAGAGTGTTTGTGATAAGTGCGGCGAGATCTTCTTTGATGTAATAATTAACTACATAATTCATGAATTCATGTTGTAAAGTGTTCGGCCATGTGATAACAACCTGAGGACCGTGAGGTTGTGCATACCTCTCTTCACACTGGAGTTCCCAAAGAGGCAAAGCACTAAAAATTAAGGTCGCAATATAGACTTTTTCAAGCAACTATATTTTGGGACCCAGGATAAGTAGTTCTTATACTAGCTACATTTGCTGCTGTGCTGCAGCCAAGGAATACAGTGATTTTTTTTAAACAAATCAGAAAAATAATTTATTATTATTCTTATTATTTATTATATTTTAAGTTCTAGGGTACATATGCACAACGTGCAGGTTTATTACATATGTATACATGTGCCATGTTGGTGTGCTGCACCCATTAACTCGTCATTTACATTAGGTATATCTCCTAATGCTATCCTTCCCCCCTCCCCCCACCCCACGACAGGCCTTGGTGTGTGATGTTCCCCTTCCTGTGTCCAAGTGTTCTCATTGTTCAATTCCCGCCTATGAGTGAGAACACGTGGTGTTTGGTTTTCTGTCCTTGTGATAGTTTGCTGAGAATGATGGTTTCCAGCTTCTCCATGGCCCTGCAAAGGACATTTTTTATGGCTGCATAGTATTCCATGGTGTATATGTGCCACATTTTCTTAATCCAGTCTATCATTGATGGATATTTGGGTTGGTTCCAAGTCTTTGCTATTGTGAATAGTGCTGCAATAAACATACGTGTGCATGTGTCTTTATAGCAGCATGATTTATAATCCTTTGGGTATATACCCAGTAATGGGATGGCTGGGTCAAATGGTATTTCTAGTTCTAGATCCCTGAGGAATCACCACACTGTCTTCCACAATGGTTGAATTAGTTTACAGTCCCACCAACAGTGTAAAAGTGTTCCTATTTCTCCACATCCTCTCCAGCACCTGTTGTTTCCTGACTTTTTAATGATCGCCATTCTAACTGGTGTGAGATGGTATCTCATTGTGGTTTTGATTTGCATTTCTCTGATGGCCAGTGATGATGAGCATTTTTTCATGTGTCTGTTGGCTGCATAAATGTCTTCTTTTGAGAAGTGTCTGTTCATGTCCTTCGCCCACTTGTTGATGGGGTTGTTTGTTTTTTCTTGTAAATTTGTTTGAGTTCTTTATAGATTCTGGATATTAGCCCTTTGTCAGATGGGTAGATTGCAAAAATTTTTTCCCATTCTGTAGGTTGCCTGTTCACTCTGCTGGTAGTTTCTTTTGCTCTGCAGAAGCTCTTTAGTTTAATTAGATCCCATTTGTCAATTTTGGCTTTTGTTGCCATTGCTTTTGGTGTTTTAGACATGAAGTCCTTGCCCATGCCTATGTCCTGAATGGTATTGCCTAGGTTTTCTTCTAGAGTTTTTATGGTTTTAGGTCTAACATTTAAGTCTTTAATCCATCTTGAATTAATTTTTGTATAAGGTGTAAGGAAGGGATCCAGTTTCAGCTTTCTACATATGGCTAGCCAGTTTTCCCAGCACTATTTATTAAACAGGGAATCTTTTCCCCATTTCTTGTTTTTGTCAAGTTTGTCAAAGATCAGATGGTTGTAGATGTGTGGTGTTATTTCTGATGCCTCTGTTCTGTTCCATTGGTCTATATATCTGTTTTGGCACCAGTACCATGCTGTTTTGGTTACTGTAGCCTTGTAGTGTAGTATGGTTTGAAGTCAGGTAGTGTGATGCCTCCAGCTTTGTTCTTTTGGCTTAGGATTGTCTTGGCAATGCGGGCTCTTTTTTGGTTGCATATGAACTTTAAAGCAGTTTTTTCCAATTCTGTGAAGAAAGTCATTGGTAGCTTGATTGGGATGGCACTGAATCTATAAGTTACCTTGGGCAGTATGGCCATTTTCACGATATTGATTCTTCCTATCCATGAGCATGGAATGTTCTTCCATTTGTTTGTGTCCTCTTTTATTTCGCTGAGCAGTGGTTTGTAGTTCTCCTTGAAGAGGTCCTTCACATCCCTTATAAGTTGGATTCCTAGCTGTTTTATTCTCTTTGAAGCATTTATTATTTTTTAAAGATTTTTACCAAAAAGCATTTGAAAGTAGAAACATTTCTTTTTGCTCAAGTAAAGGTTAATCTTGAATGGTCTTAAAATGTTGCCTCTTTCCAGAAAAGGATCTTCCCCAGTAATACATATAATTAAGCTGTGCTTGAAGGCTGAAGCAGCCTATAAGCTAGATACTGAAGTCTCAGCTAGTTATCTCTTCTCCCATCCATGTACTAGCCAAACCAACCCTGCTTAGCTTCTGAGATCAGGCATATTCGGGATGGTAAGGCCATAGACAGGTTGCCTCTTCCATTTTTGGTTTGTGTCCATTTCGCTTGCACATCCATTCCAATGCCTAACATGCCTATTGCTAAAAAGGACTTAAGTGAAAGTGATGACCATCTCACTTGCCTCCTGACCACAAATGTGGCCTTGGTGACAGAAAGGGCATGGCTGGGTCCACAGAGTCCCTGGCCTGCTCGCAGGTGTGCAGGGCTGGAGAACAGCTTATTCAGGAATTGTCCAAGACAATAGAACAGGCAGGAGGAAGAGGTTTCTTTGCATGTTTCTACTGTACAAATGGGTGTCCTGTGGATACTTATCAAAATAAAGACGTGATTCATCTTAAATTATCTGGCTCTAAATTGATAATGCTGCATAGGTATTTACATAATGACAAGATTACTTCAGAAGGGGACAGATAAGATGACCTCAGATGAGGACAGTCTGGAGTAAAATCCTGACTCTTATTCAGCAAACCAAGAATAGTTGTAGTGAAACAGATCATGTTCTAAAAGTCTACACTCCTGTTATCTCAAAGATGATTAATTTGTTTTCCCCTACAAACAATGATGCTGAGAAATGAAAATACTCAATCTGTTGGTATATTAACATTCATAATCGTGTTTATTGAAACACATGGTCATTTACTTGATGAAAATGTAATATTGGCCTTGAGATATTTTCATCTGTGCAGATTGTCATAATGATATTACTATATTATGCTAATGGTCACTTTACAAAAATGAAAGTTATAAAATGGCAACAGAATGTTGCTGTTTTATGCCATTTTTCCAGTAGAATCTCAATGATGTATTAAATCAATCATATTTACTATACCTCTAGGAGAAATTTTACTGAACAATTTTCATTCTGATTTAATATACTTTTCAGAGTACGTAGCTGGAGCCTGGCATAAGTGATGTGAGTTACAGAATCTCTAATATGGAGATGTTAAGGCTTTTCCGACTCTGATCTCACTATTTGAGAAAAAAAAACAAAATTAAAATTCCTCCCAAACTGTCAACAATACAGTTATTCATTGAGAGGTTTGGTCTTTTGTGTATGAATCATGATTCATAAATTCTATTCTATGAATTTTTGTTCTATGGTATTTAAGCTTTCTCTCTGTTTCTGTAATTTGGAACTATTTCAGGAAATTAAATATTTAGTTATTTTTTTTTTTTACCATTAACTAAAGTTTGAAGCCCAAATGCCTTTTGAAATTCAGACAGGCCAAATTCTTAGCAGAAAAAGATACTTGAAATGCAACTGAAGGGAGGAGGAGCCAAGATGGCCGAATAGGAACAGCTCCGGTCTACAGCTCCCAGCGTGAGTGACGCAGAAGACGGGTGATTTCTGCATTTCCATCTGAGGTACCGGGTTCATCTCACTAGGGAGTGCCAGACAGTGGGCGCAGGCCAGTGTGTGTGCGCACCGTGTGCGAGCCGAAGCAGGGCGAGGCATTGCCTCACCTGGGAAGCGCAAGGGGTCAGGGAGTTCCCTTTCCGAGTCAAAGAAAGGGGTGACGGACGCACCTGGAAAATCGGGTCACTCCCACCCGAATATTGCACTTTTCAGACCGGCTTAAGAAACGGCGCACCACGAGACTATATCCCACACCTGGCTCAGAGGGTCCTACGCCTACGGAATCTCGCTGATTGCTAGCACAGCAGTCTGAGATCAAACTGCAAGGCGGCAACGAGGCTGGGGGAGGGGCGCCCGCCATTGCCCAGGCTTGCTTAGGTAAACAAAGCAGCCGGGAAGCTCCAACTGGGTGGAGCCCACCACAGCTCAAGGAGGCCTGCCTGCCTCTGTAGGCTCCACCTCTGGGGGCAGGGCACAGACAAACAAAAAGACAGCAGTAACCTCTGCAGACTTAAGTGTCCCTGTCTGACAGCTTTGAAGAGAGCAGTGGTTCTCCCAGCACGCAGCTGGCGATCTGAGAACGGGCAGACTGCCTCCTCAAGTGGGTCCCTGACCCCTGACCCCCGAGCAGCCTAACTGGGAGGCACCCCCCAGCAGGGGCACACTGACACCTCACACGGCAGGGTATTCCAACAGACCTGCACCTGAGGGTCCTGTCTGTTAGAAGGAAAACTAACAACCAGAAAGGACATCTACACCGAAAACCCATCTGTACATCACCATCATCAAAGACCAAAAGTAGATAAAACCACAAAGATGGGGAAAAAACAGAACAGAAAAACTGGAAACTCTAAAATGCAGAGCGCCTCTCCTCCTCCAAAGGAACGCAGTTCCTCACCAGCAACAGAACAAAGCTGGATGGAGAATGATTTTGACGAGCTGAGAGAAGAAGGCTTCAGACGATCAAATTACTCTGAGCTACGGGAGGACATTCAAACCAAAGGCAAAGAAGTTGAAAACTTTGAAAAAAATTTAGAAGAATGTATAACTAGAATAACCAATACAGAGAAGTGCTTAAAGGAGCTGATGGAGCTGAAAACCAAGGCTCGAGAACTACGTGAAGAATGCAGAAGCCTCAGGAGCTGATGCGATCAACTGGAAGAAAGGGTATCAGTGATGGAAGATGAAATGAATGAAATGAAGCGAGAAGGGAAGTTTAGAGAAAAAAGAATAAAAAGAAATGAGCAAAGCCTCCAAGAAATATGGGACTATGTGAAAAGACCAAATCTACGTCTGATTGGTGTACCTGAAAGTGATGTGGAGAATGGAACCAAGTTGGAAAACACTCTGCAGGATATTATCCAGGAGAACTTCCCCAATCTAGCAAGGCAGGCCAATGTTCAGATTCAGGAAATACAGAGAACGCCACAAAGATACTCCTCGAGAAGAGCAACTCCAAGACACATAATTGTCAGATTCACCAAAGTTGAAATGAAGGAAAAAATGTTAAGGGCAGCCAGAGAGAAAGGTCGGGTTACCCTCAAAGGAAAGCCCATCAGACTAACAGCGGATCTCTCGGCAGAAACCCTACAAGCCAGAAGAGAGTGGGGGCCAATATTCAACATTCTTAAAGAAAAGAATTTTCAACCCAGAATTTCATATCCAGCCAAACTAAGCTTCATAAGTGAAGGAGAAATAAAATACTTTATAGACAAGCAAATGCTGAGAGATTTTGTCACCACCAGGCCTGCCCTAAAAGAGCTCCTGAAGGAAGCGCTAAACATGGAAAGGAACAACCGGTACCAGCCGCTGCAAAATCATGCCAAAATGTAAAGACCATCGAGACTAGGAAGAAACTGCATCAACTAATGAGCAAAATCACCAGCTAACATCATAATGACAGGATCAAATTCACACATAACAATATTAACTTTAAATATAAATGGACTAAATTCTGCAATTAAAAGACACAGACTGGCAAGTTGGATAAAGAGTCAAGACCCATCAGTGTGCTGTATTCAGGAAACCCATCTCACGTGCAGAGACACACATAGGCTCAAAATAAAAGGATGGAGGAAGATCTACCAAGCCAATGGAAAACAAAAAAAGGCAGGGGTTGCAATCCTAGTCTCTGATAAAACAGACTTTAAGCCAACAAAGATCAAAAGAGACAAAGAAGGCCATTACATAATGGTAAAGGGATCAATTCAACAAGAGGAGCTAACTATCCTAAATATTTATGCACCCAATACAGGAGCACCCAGATTCATAAAGCAAGTCCTGAGTGACCTACAAAGAGACTTAGACTCCCACACATTAATAATGGGAGACTTTAACACCCCACTGTCAACATTAGACAGATCAACGAGACAGAAAGTCAACAAGGATACCCAGGAATTGAACTCAGCTCTGCACCAAGCAGACCTAATAGACATCTACAGAACTCTCCACCCCAAATCAACAGAATATACATTTTTTTCAGCACCACACCACACCTATTCCAAAATTGACCACATACTTGGAAGTAAAGCTCTCCTCAGCAAATGTAAAAGAACAGAAATTATAACAAACTATCTCTCAGACCACAGTGCAATCAAACTAGAACTCAGGATTAAGAATCTCACTCAAAGCCGCTCAACTACATGGAAACTGAACAACCTGCTCCTGAATGACTACTGGGTACATAACGAAATGAAGGCAGAAATAAAGATGTTCTTTGAAACCAACGAGAACAAAGACACCACATACCAGAATCTCTGGGACGCATTCAAAGCAGTGTGTAGAGGGAAATTTATAGCACTAAATGCCTAGAAGAGAAAGCAGGAAAGATCCAAAATTGACACCCTAACATCACAATTAAAAGAACTAGAAAAGCAAGAGCAAACACATTCAAAAGCTGGCAGAAGGCAAGAAATAACTAAAATCAGAGCAGAACTGAAGGAAATAGAGACATAAAAAACCCTTCAAAAAATCAATGAATCCAGGAGCTGGTTTTTTGAAAGGATCAACAAAATTGATAGACCGCTAGCAAGACTAATAAAGAAAAAAAGAGAGAAGAATCAAATAGACACAATAAAAAATGATAAAGGGGATATCACCACCGATCCCACAGAAATACAAACTACCATCAGAGAATACTACAAACACTTCTACGCAAATAAACTAGAAAATCTAGAAGAAATGGATACATTCCTCGACACATACACTCTCCCAAGACTAAACCAGGAAGAAGTTGAATCTCTGAATAGACCAATAACAGGCTCTGAAATTGTGGCAATAATCAATAGTTTACCAACCAAAAAGAGTCCAGCACCAGATGGATTCACAGCCGAATTCTACCAGAGGTACAAGGAGGAACTGGTACCATTCCTTCTGAAACTATTCCAATCAATAGAAAAAGAGGGAATCCTCCCTAACTCATTTTATGAGGCCAGCATCATTCTGATACCAAAGCCGGGCAGAGACACAACCAAAAAAGAGAATTTTAGACCAATATCCTTGATGAACATTGATGCAAAAATCCTCAATAAAATACTGGCAAACCGAATCCAGCAGCACATCAAAAAGCTTATCCACCATGATCAAGTCAGCTTCATCCCTGGGATGCAAGGCTGGTTCAATATACGCAAATCAATAAATGTAATCCAGCATATAAACAGAGCCAAAGACAAAAACCACATGATTATCTCAATAGATGCAGAAAAAGCCTTTGACAAAATTCAACAACCCTTCATGCTAAAAACTCTCAATAAATTAGGTATTGATGGGACGTATTTCAAAATAATAAGAGCTATCTATGACAAACCCACAGCCAATATCATACTGAATGGGTAAAAACTGGAAGCATTCCCTTTGAAAACTGGCACAAGACAGGGATGCCCTCTCTCACCACTCCTATTCAACATAGTGTTGGAAGTTCTGGCCAGGGCAATCAGGCAGGAGAAGGAAATAAAGGGTATTCAATTAGGAAAAGAGGAAGTCAAATTGTCCCTGTTTGCAGACGACATGATTGTTTATCTAGAAAACCCCATCGTCTCAGCCCAAAATCTCCTTAAGCTGATAAGCAACTTCAGCAAAGTCTCAGGATACAAAATCAATGTACAAAAATCACAAGCATTCTTATACACCAACAACAGACAAACAGAGAGCCAAATCATGAGTGAACTCCCATTCACAATTGCTTCAAAGAGAATAAAATACCTAGGAATCCAACTTACAAGGGATGTGAAGGACCTCTTCAAGGAGAACTACAAACCACTGCTCAAGGAAATAAAAGAGGACACAAACAAATGGAAGAACATTCCATGCTCATGGGTAGGAAGAATCAATATCGTGAAAATGGCCATACTGCCCAAGGTAATTTACAGATTCAATGCCATCCCCATCAAGCTACCAATGACTTTCTTCACAGAATTGGAAAAAACTACTTTAAAGTTCATATGGAACCAAAAAAGAGCCCGCATTGCCAAGTCAATCCTAAGCCAAAAGAACAAAGCTGGAGGCATCACACTACCTGACTTCAAACTATACTACAAGGCTACAGTAACCAAAACAGCCTGGTACTGGTACCAAAACAGAGATATAGATCAATGGAACAGAACAGAGCCCTCAGAAATAATGCCACATATCTACAACTATCTGATCTTTGACAAACCTGAGAAAAACAAGCAATGGGGAAAGGATTCCCTATTTAATAAATGGTGCTGGGAAAACTGGCTAGCCATATGTAGAAAGCTGAAACTGGATCCCTTCCTTACACCTTATACAAAAATCAATTCAAGATGGATTAAAGATTTAAACGTTAGACCTAAAACCATAAAAACCCTAGAAGAAAACCTAGGCATTACCATTGAGGACATAGGCGTGGGCAAGGACTTCATGTCCAAAACACCAAAAGCAATGGCAACAAAAGCCAAAATTGACAAATGGGATCTAATTAAACTAAAGAGCTTCTGCACAGCAAAAGAAACTACCATCAGAGTGAACAGGCAACCTACAAAATGGGAGAAAATTTTCGCAACCTACTCATCTGACAAAGGGCTAATATCCAGAATCTACAATGAACTCAAACAAATTTACAAGAAAAAAACAAACAACCCCATCAAAAAGTGGGCGAAGGACATGAACAGACACTTCTCAAAAGAAGACATTTATGCAGCCAAAAAACACATGAAGAAATGCTCATCATCACTGGCCATCAGAGAAATGCAAATCAAAACCACTATGAGATATCATCTCACACCAGTTAGAATGGCAATCATTAAAAAGTCAGGAAACAACAGGTGCTGGAGAGGATGTGGAGAAATAGGAACACTTTTACACTGTTGGTGGGACTGTAAACTAGTTCAACCATTGTGGAAGTCAGTGTGGCGATTCCTCAGGGATCTAGAACTAGAAATACCATTTGACCCAGCCATCCCATTACTGGGTATATACCCAAAGGATTATAAATCATGCTGCTATAAAGACACATGCACACGTATGTTTATTGCGGCACTATTCACAATAGCAAAGACTTGGAACCAACCCAAATGTCCAACAATGATAGACTGGATTAAGAAAATGTGGCACATATACGCCATGGAATACTATGCAGCCATAAAAAATGATGAGTTCATGTCCTTTGTAGGGACATGGATGAAATTGGAAACCATCATTCTCAGTAAACTATCGCAAGAACAAAAAACCAAACACCGCATATTCTCACTCATAGGTGGGAATTGAACAATGAGATCACATGGACACAGGAAGGGGAATATCACACTCTGGGGACTGTGGTGGGGTCGGGGGAGGGGGGAGGGATAGCATTGGGAGATATACCTAATGCTAGATGACACGTTAGTGGGTGCAGCGCACCAGCATGGCACATGTATACATATGTAACTAACCTGCACAATGTGCACATGTACCCTAAAACTTAGAGTATAATAAAAAAAAAAAAAAAAAGAAAAGTAAAAAGTAAAAAAAAAAAAAAAAGAAATGCAACTGAAATATTTAAATCTAAATATAAAAGCTATTTTTAAATGGCTGAAATTATTCTCTTCCCCCTTGTTCTCAGAGCTGCATATACTTATAGCAGTTATTGAATGAAAACTTAAAATACATGGAATTAAAAATTATATTATTAACATAGAATATGTGGAAATAAATATAACACTGTGATTCACAGAACTGGCTGTACTATCTTATGAATCTGCAACAAATTGTCTGTATCAAAATTTCTTAGTCTGTAAGGGACTAATTGCTTATATGTGTCTCTCACGAAGTTTGGAGATAATGCTCTCCTCTGATCACACAGTTGTTACTTACTACCTATGTGACCTTTGGTAAAGTATTTCACTTGGGTGTTAATTTCCTTATCTGCAAAATGGGAATAATCATGTATCTAGTTTTTGTGGTTGTGAAGAGCAAATGAATTATGCATTTATATTAATAAAATATTAAGCACCTGTGTAACACATGTGAAGTGAAACATATGTATTTATTTTTAATGATAATAAACAATTAATGGCAACTTTGACCAATATAAACTGTGTATCATAATTTTTACTTTCTGAATTCAGTTTGGTTTATAATTTAAAATCTACCATTTTGTTAAATGTATCATATTTTAGTGATTTTAAGGTTGGTGATTTCTTAAAAGAAAGTACACATTATTCTATGGATTAGTAGGAATTTCATTTTTCTTATATTGTTATTGAAGCCAAATATTTAAAAATACATAATTGATCAACACATAAAAATTCCATTTATATTTTATATTTATGTATAAATACTATTTTTGCATTCTTCAACATTTCAGATGTATTGACACATTCTTGCTTTAATTTGAATTATTCCCACTTGGGACTTGTTCAAACAATCTCTTAATCAAAACCTGGATGACCTATTCATATCCTTTAGCAGGGCCTGAATATCCTGTGTTCCTCATGAGCTAGAAATGTGAATAACTTTGTGAAATAGGTAGCGTAGGGTCTTTTTTTTTGCAAAACAGAGTCTATGAAAATTGCGCTTTGCCCCAAATTGTTAATTGCCTTTGCACACCTTGTAGCACCTGTAGCTGGGGAGTCTCTTTATGACTGAGATCTCAGTCTCGGTCTTTCCCTCACAGGAGGTGCTCATGACATTTTATCTAGTCAGTTCTCACACAAAGGACTTGCCTTAGATACTGACAAAAGCCTGAAAGAAAACAGACGATCTGGCAAATGCTGTGATAGTGTGTTTGTTGGCGATTACCTCTCTCAACACTGTCAAAGATTCAGATTGTAAAAAATATCCACACATACAACTTTTTCTGTTATCATTATGTGGACTCAGAAAATAAAGCAAAGAAATGAGGCAATTTTCTGAACAATCAGGCAAGAAAAATGGCCTCAATTACTCATTTTGTCTCTCTGTCTCACTTGTCTAGACATTGCTTGGGGGCAGGGGGTGAAAATTTACTACAGTTTTCTAATACATTGATTAAAAACTAATATTTTTGACAATTTGCTGAAATAATCTTTGCTGAAGGCCTAATTGAATTTGAAGCCGGAGGTAGTGGCTATTTTTATTTATTACATCATGAGGTCACCTAGATTATGCTTAACCAACTTTACAAGTAATTTTTCTGAGTTCAAGGGTTTGATTTTTTTTTTCATAAAGTCATGAGGGCTAATTTCCAAGTGGATTTTGGAGAAGATTTATGATTCTACTTTCTGATCATCCAAACCAAGAATCTAGATCCCATTCTAGACAAGGTCTTAGAGATGTGATGTGAGTACCTTTCTATCTTCCCTTTCCTTTCCTTTCTGTCCCCATGAATCATTTCTCTTCTGGATTACATTCAATTCTTTCAAATTCATTCTGATCTCCATTCGATCCTTCCTTTCCACTGTGACCAGAGTGATTTTTCTTAAGCACAAATTAGCCCATGTCCACTTCCTACTTAAGATCCTTTGATTCTGCATAAGTGCTTTCAGGATGAAATTCCACACTCCCCAGCATAAGACATGAAACCCCCTGTGTAAGAGCAGTGTTGTACTTTCTCTCCTATCTCCCTCCCGGGCACTCTCCTAGAGCTACCTGGACATGCTGCAGTAACTCAGACACCCCCAACTGCAGATAGGCTCCTTCCTCTGCCCCCACCAGTGGTTCTTAACTGGGAAGAAGGTGCATTCCAGGGGAGATATTTTGCAATGTCAGGTGACATTTTGTTTTCGTTTTTTAAAATTTTTAAATTTTTATAGATTTAGGGGGTAAAAGTGCAGTATTGTTATACAGATATATTGTACAGTGGGGAAGTCTGGCTTTTAGGATAACTATCACCCAAATAGTGTACATTGTACCCATTAGATAATTTCTCATTCCCCTTCCCACCCTCCTCCCTTTCTGAGCCTCCAGTGTCTATTATTCCATGCTCTATGACCATATGTGCACATCATTTAGCTCCTACTTATAAGTGAGAACATGAGGTATTTGGCTTTCTGCTTCTGAGTTATTTCATTTAACATAATGACCTCCAATTCCATTCATGTTGCTCCAAAAGACATGATTTCATTCTTGTTTATGGCTGAGTAGTATTCCATGGTATATATATGTGTGTGTGTGTGTGTATACATATATATATACACAGCACACACACACACATATATATACACACACACACACATATATACACCACATTGTCTTTATCCAATCATCCATTAGACACTTACGGTGATTCCATATCTTTGCTATTGTGAATAGTGCTGCAATAAGCATACAAGTGCAGGCATCCTTTTTATATAATGATTTCTTTTATTCTGAGTAGACGCCCAGTAGTAGGATTGCTGTATCAAACTGCAGTTCTGTTTTCAGTTCATTGAGAAATCTTCAGGAGACATTTTGGTTGTCACACTAGCACCTCATGGACAGAGGCCAGGGATGCTGTTAAGATCCTAAAACACACAGGACAGCCCCTGACAACAAAGAATTATTCTGTGAAAAATGTCAAAAATAAGAAACCCTGACCTAAAACAACCTTCATGGCTTTCTTTACTCACTTTCTCCTACTCTTTAAGACTCAGCTCAAGAGTGACTGCCTCTGGAAATGTTCCTTTACCGCCACCCAGCCTCACTGTGATTTACCTCTCATTACTGTTCTTGTTATCTTCTTTTTCTCTTCTATAGATTAAAACATATTTTAAAATACAATCTTTGGAATCTATTAGGTACCTGTGATGGTTAATACTGAGTGTCAACTTGATTGGATTGAAGGATGCAAAGTGTTGTTCCTGGGTATGTCTGTGAGGGTGCTGCCAAAGGAGACTAACATTTGAGTCAATGGACTGGGGAAGGCAGATCCACCCTCAATCTGGGTGGATACAATCTAATCACCTGCCAGCATAGCCAAAATAAAAGCAGGCAGAAGAACGTGGAAAGACTAGACTGGCTTAGTCTTCTGGTCTATATTTTTCTCTTGTGCTGGCTACTTCCTGCCCTTGAACATTGGACCCAAAGTTCTTTAGCTTTGGGACTTGGACTTGCTTCCTTGCCCCTCAGCTTGCAGGTGGCCTATTGTGGGATCTCACCTTATGATCATGTGAGTCAATACTCTTAATAAATTCCCTTTATATATATGTCTATCCTATCAGTTCTGTCCCTCTAGAGAACCCTAATACAGATTTTGGCACAAGTAGAGTGGAGCCCTACTGAAAAGATACCAAAAAATGTGGAAGCAATTTTGGAACTGGGTAACAGGCAGAGGTTGGAATAGTTTGGAGGGCTCAAAAGAAGACAGGAAAATGTGGGAAAGTTTGGAACTCCCTAGAGACTTGCTGAATGGCTTTGACCAAAATGCTGATAATGATATGGACAGTAAAATCCAGGCAGAGGTAGTCTCAGATGGAATGAGGAACTTGTTGGGAACTGGAGCAAAGGTGATTCTTTTTATGCTTTAGCAAAGAGACTGACAGCATTTTGCCCCTGCCATAGAGATTTGTGGAACTTTGAACTTGAGAGAGATGATTCAGAGTATCTGGTAGAAAAAATATCTAAGCAGAAAAACATTGAAGAGGTGACTTGGGTGCTCTTAAAGGCATTCAGTTTAAAAAGAGAATCAGAATATAAAAGTTTGGAAAATTTGCAGCCTGACAATGTGATAGAAAAAAAAATCCTATTTTCTGAGGAGATATTCAAGCTGGCTGCAGAGATTTGGATAAGTAATGAGGAGCCGAGTTATTCACCAAGACTATGGGGAAAATGTCTCCAGGACATGTAAGAGATCTTTGTGGCAGTCCCTCCCATCACAGGCCCAGAGGCCTAGGAGAGAAAAATGGTTTCGTGGGGTGGCCCCAGGGTCCCTGTGCTGTATGCAGTCTAGGGAATTGGTGTCCTGCATCCCAGCCGCTCCAGGTGTGACTAAAAGGGGTCAAGGTACAGGTTGGACAATGGTTTCAGAGGGTGCAAGCCCCAAGTCCTGGCAGCTTCCACATGGTATTGAGCCTGAAGGTATACAGAAGTCAATAACTGAGGTTTGAGACCCTCCACCTAGATTTCAGAAGATGTATGGAAATGCCTGGATGTCCAGGCAGAAATTTGCTGCAGGGGCGGGGTGCTCATGGAGAACTACCATGCACCTGGAAGAGCTGTAGACACCCAATGCCAGCCCATGAAAGCAGTCAGGAGGGAGGCTATAGCCTGCAAAGCCACAGGGACAGAGCTGCCCAAGGCTGTGAGAGCCCACCATCAGTGTGACCCGGATGTGAGACCTGGAGTCAAAGGAGATCTTTTGGAGCTTTAAGATTTGACAGCCCTGCTGGATTTTGGACTTGCATAGGGCCTTTAGCTTCTTCAGTCTGGCCAATTTCTCCGATTTGGAATGATGTATTTATCTAATGCCTGCACCCTCATTGTATCTAGGGTGTAACTAACTTGCTTTTGGTTTTACTGGCTCATAGGCAGAAGGGACTTATATTGTCTCAGATAAGACTTTGGACTGTGGACTTTTGAGTTAATGCTGAAATGAGTTAAGACTTTGGGGGACTGTTGGGAAGGCATAATTGGTTTTGAAATGAGAGGACAAGAGATTTGGGAGGGGCTGGGGCAGAATGATATGGTTTGGCTGTGTCCCCACCCAAATCTCAACTTGAATTGTAGCTCCCACAATTCCCATGTGTTGTGGGAGGGACCCAGTGGGAGGTAACTGAATCATGGAGGTGGGTCTTTCCTGTGCTAGTCTCATGATAGTGAATAAGTCTCATGAATCTTGATGGTTTTATAAAGAGAAGTTTCCCTGCACAAGCTCTCTTCTCTTGTCTGCCACCATGTGAGACGTGACTTTCACCTTCTGCCATGATTGTGGGGCCTCCCCAGCAACATGGAACTGTGAGTCCATTAAACCTCTTTCTTTTGTAAATTGCCCAGTCTCGGATATGTCTTTATTAGCAGCATGAAAATGGACTAATACGGTACCCAACATGCTTATTGATTATATAAATGGATAATACTAATTAGGGCAAATTCACCTATCCATGAACTCGGATGGCATGGTGAAATGTAACAGGTTTGAGTCCCTTTTAGCTATGCTTACTTATTTATGAAATGCCTTTGGGACAAAGCAGAACTTTCATGAATTCATTTAGAAACTCAGAGGAGAAAAATTAAGACATTACTAAAATAAGTTAATTTTCAAATTATGACTATGTACAGATTTTTCTACAATTTCAATTTTATATGTTGGAAACAGAACAGCTATAAGTTTGAATAACAGACAAGAGCTCCATCCAAGGCTAAATACTATCACTCACTTATTTTCCAAATATTTATGAGTGGCTGCTATATGCCAGGCATCATGCTACCCATGAAATGTCATGATGAGCAAAATGTCCTGTGCCTGCCGTCAGAGAGTGACAGTCCAGCAGGAAAGACAGACAATCCAGAAATATAAATGAAAAATTACAAACAATGATCATGACTGTGAAGAAGAGGGAAAGGGTGTTAGGAGAGTTTACAAAGAGAGTGTATGTGTGGGGCTGATCTATTATAAAGGGGCAGGAGGGCTTCCCGTAGAGTTGCACTTTGGAGCTGATGTTGACTGGGGAGGTGGTGCATGGTGGGGGAGGAGTGTGCCAGCCAAAGGAGGAGCACATAGAAGCCTGAGGTGAGAAGGGTCCTAGCATGTTCTGGAACCAAAGAGAAGACCAGTGTGGCTGGAATACTGGGGGAAGGGGAAGGCTGGGAGGACACGAGGCTGGGGAGGTAGACAGAGCCTTTTATATAATATTAAATGTTGACAGAGTCTTTAGGCTAAAAAACATTTAGGGGAGCCGTTACGTGTGTAATTATTCCTAACTGAAAAGTTCAAAGTACTGTTATTTGAGCTATATTTTGTTAAAATCAACAATGACAACAACAAACCACTAGGACAACAAAAATTTCTTCCTGGATTGCTTTTTAGATTGGGTATTTTCATAGTTGTATTAGTTTCCTAAAGCTGCTGTAACAACTGACCACAAACTTGATGGCCTAAAACCACAGAATGTATTGGCTCACAGCTCTGGAGGCCAGAAATCCACAATGGAGGCCAGAAGTCCACAATGGAGGCCTCAGCAGGACTGCACTCCCTCCACAGCTCCAGGGGAGGAGGTTTGTTGCCTCTTTCAGCTTCTCATGGCTCCTGGCATTCTTGGTCTTGTGACCACAGAACTTCAATCTCTTCCTCTCTCTTCACATGGGTCTTCACATGAGTTGCTTCTCTGTGTGTCAAAGCTCTCTCTCCTTTCTCTCATGAGGACTCCAGTCAGTGGATTTAGAGTAGATTTCTAAGTCCAGGATGATCTTAATCTGCAGATCCTTAACTGCATTACATCTGCACAAACCCTGTTTCCAAGTAAGGTCATGTTCACAGGTACCAGGGATGAGAACTTGGACATATCTTTTTGGGGCACACAATTGAAGTCACTACAGTAATGTTGATTTCCAATCATTATTATTACTAGATTACACTTGAGCATTATTGCTGTGTTATTTCTTAGGGTATTAACCTCAATACTGCTCATCCATTCACCACCACTAAAGATGACAGGTGCACAGAGAAGCAAGCAGTACACTGATTTGGACATGGGACTCAGCCTGGCTTGGCCACTATCTTGGCCACTATCTGCTGTGTGACACTTAACTCCTGCAAGCCTCATTTCTTCACCCTTAAAACGAGGAGTGACACTTTACCTCTACATATATGATAGCCTTTACATGTTTTCTATGAATCTACAACTTCATCACTCGATTCATGGCTCTGCTCACTTTTTCTTGACCATGCTGACGTTTTGTCCTCTGGTCCTCCTTCTTTAAAATATTTTAATCCTTTTCTGAGTCAGTGGGGATGGTGGTGGTGGGGCCTTCCCTGACCTCTGTGGCTGGATTCCTACTCCAAGTCCTTGCATAGAGAGAAATGGTTTTACAGGGGAATGTTTCATTGGAGATGAAACAATGATACTTTGGTAGCCGGGGCAATTCTTTTTTTTATCCTTATTGGCAGATCAGTCCCCAGGTGAAGTTTATTTAGCACTTGTCATTAAAGAAACGTGAGTTGGTTAGAAGCCAGTGTGAGCAAGTGGAGAGAAAGAAAGTTTCTGATTCAGTTGAATTATAATAAAACAAGCACCTCTGTACAGTTTAAGATAAACCCCACTGAACTGAATGTTTGTTATTTATGTAAGCTAAAACCCTCATTAAATTGACAGCAGCATTATTATTAGGCAAAGTGTGATATAACATAGATACAGACTCAAAATGGACATAAATGACGTCCACTGTATTTATTTATGACAAAAATTAGTCAGAATTGTAAGTACTGGTGATGTTAGGTTTTCTATTGAAAGTGATTCTTTCTCCATACGTCTGGGGTTTGAGTTCATGTAGCCACCAAACTCTGCCAGAGTTTAATGAGGATCTCAAAGGTGGGAGATGGATCCATTTGGTCGATGTAGGTGTCTATGAAAGACCCAGAAACATTAGTCTGTCAGAGTACCAAAGGGAAAGAAATAATTGAAAAGGAGATATAAAAGGAGAAGAAAGACAGCTATTAAAAAGTTGAATTCTAGTAGAATTACGAGGGTATTTTTACAACACTCTGTAGTTTTAGATGGCTTCCTCCATAGACCCCAACACAAAATGCATCACAGAAAAGTACAAAAGAGCAATAGTCCTTTTTATGAGATTCTGTTCATTGGAAAAGAAAAAGAAGATTTAGCCAGCAGCAGGAATTTGTTCCACCTAGCTTTAAATGGAAATCACTTTTAAAGCAGTCATGGAAAAATTTAGCTGGGTTCCCAAACAATATAACATGTTCAGTGCAAAGTCTGATTCACGGAGCTTCTGCCAGCAAATCATTATTCTTGCACTACAAGAAAAAGGGTGTATTGTTCCCTGTTACAGGAGAGCTAGGGAAAAAGAACATGATAGTCAGCAGAGGAGCTAAAGAGACTTGATTTATAGATTATATTGACTCACTAGTGTGGAAAGAAAAAGTAACCCATATCTAATCTTTCAATTCTTCCTTTGAGGTGTCTTTCAGATGTGTACCTTCCTCTCCATGACTTCTGAATCTGTCTTCATGCCGTCCCCTCCCTCTTGTTCACCTGCGTTGCCATCATAGTCCCTCGCTCCCCAGCTGGGGTACCAGATATCTGTCTGTGACACTCAGCCCCATTCCTACCTCATTCTATGATCTCTCCTACAGCACAGGGACTGGCAGTGTAGGAACTACATTTCCCAGAACCCCTTGCCTAACAGAGCTTTGTCTTGGATGCGACCAGTAAGAAACTCCTGTGGGAGATTTGGATGGCAGAGAAGTGTGTATTGGGGCAGTGGCCTGCTGACATGCAGAGTTTGGAACCTAAAGGGTTTTTAGTAGCCTTTAGCAGTTCACCAATAGATACCGGAGGCTGCTGTGACCTGTGGGGAAGTTTCCTTGAGTTTCTGACCTGCCTGGAGGCAATGTCTAATCCCTCGGTAGCCATTAGAGAAGCTGAGGCCAGCAGTGACTGGCCTTCCTCAACCTCAGGACTCCTTTCCGTCACTTTCATAAGCACATAGTGACCCACATCAGATCCCTTCTTCCTTGGAGCATCGAGGGAAGGTTCTATTTTCCTGATTGCTTACATCACTGCTCTCTGGAGCTCGGAAATTATCTATCACAGCTCCTTATTTTATGGTTGAAGCTCGGAGAGATTAAGTGACTTGCTCAAGATCACGCAGCTCCTTAATTATGGAACCAAGCCTGGGATCTCTATCTCCTAACTTCCAGATTGGCGCTAATTTCTATTGTTTCATGCCTCTGTAGATTTGTATACCATCTCCTCATGTTCCCGCATATTTTTATACCCCTATTTTGTTGTATCTACGATGCTAGCAGTTATCATTGTTTCATGAAAAAAAAAAAAAACCTAAGAAAAATACCACCAAATAAACGGACTCAGTAAATTTTAATCACTGGAAAATTTTGTGCTTGCTGAAAGAACTCTTTTCAGCTTGATTATAAATTTTTAAATTATTTATTGCATATACACAAAAATAAAATATAAACAAAATAAATTGGGTGAGATATTTCTGAAACTTCCTTTCATGTAGAGTCTGACTCTTTGAATCATGTTTTTGACTCAGAGTTATTAAGCCTAATTACATATAATTCTGTATAAATAACATATAAAATATGTATAAATATAATGATCTATATTATAGAATAAATATATATAACTATATATAATTAAATTACATAGTTAATATATAATTAAATGTACAATTTAATTAAATGTTTATATGTCATTAAATTATAAAATATTTATTTAAAAATATAAAAACAATATCTTGAAATATATTGAAATATAATATGAAATATAATATATTGAAATATATTGAAATATAATTTTATATATTGCTTTATATAAAAATATAAAAATATAATATATTGAAACGTAAAAATATATATTTCAATATATTTCAATATAATATATTTCAATATAATATATTGAAATATAAAAATATATTGAAATATAATTAAATATACTTAAAATAAAATATAAGCAAAGTTAATTGGGTGAGATATTTCTGAAACTTCCTTTCATGTAGAGTTTGACTCTTTGAATCACGTTTTTGACTCAGAGTTATTAAGCCTAATTATATATAATTCTGTATAAATAATATATATTAAATATATTATGTATATAGATATATGTATAAATATAGATAATGGATCTATATTATATAATAAATATATAAAAACATACAATTAAATTACATAGTTAATATATAATTAAATGTATAATTTAATTAAATGTTTATATAATTAAATGTATAATTTAATTAAATGTTTATATAATTAAATGTATAATTTAATTAAATGTTTATATAATTAAATTATATATTTATTTAAAAATATAAAAATATAATTGTATGATTATAAAATTATATAATTATATATAACAGTTTTAAAATATAAATTTCTATGCCATCAAGAGATAAGATGAGGTAATATTTCCTTAAAAAATGTTAACTTATTTTTAATGTCGTGGGTACATTGTAGGTGTATATATTCATGGGGTACATGAGATATTTTGGTGCAGGTATGCCATGTGTAACAGTCACATCATGGAAAATTGGGTGTCAATCCCCTGAAGCATTTATCCTTTGTGTTCCAAAAAAATATGGAATCTTTATGCATTTATGTGTCATTCTTGTGCAGGGGCCTTGCTGATCTTCCCTGTATTGGTCCAGTGTTAGCATATGTGCTGCCAAAGCAAGCGCAATGTAACATTTAAATCTGTTAAGCAACTAAAATGCTGTGGTGCTAGACTCTTAAGTCATTTGGCAATGACATAGAACTAGACTTCTTTTTTTACTTTTGCTTCCTGTATGTTAAACATATATAATACATTGTCTCACCCATCTTCTTTCAAAACAAGTAGGTCCTAGGAATAATAAGAGTGGTCTGTAATTGACTCTGAGGTTTTCTTGCAAGATGCTGACATGTGTCTTACACGTTGTTCTCCTACATGCAAGCATTGCTTGTGACATCACGACTGCCACCTGGCTGAAGGCAACTATAAGATGTCATAGATTCCAAGATGCATCCAAATTTCAGAAATATTACAATGAAAAAAATCATGTGTCACAAAATGTATTCAATTTTTAGTTCTGTTCTGTTCATTTCTGTGTCTTCAGTAAGAGTGTATGCGTTTTCAAGGTATAGTTAGTAGCATATAATTATTTTTAGTGTCTCAGAATACAGGCGTACTTGGGGATTATTAAAATATGGTTTTTCCTTAAACTGAAACTTGTATCTTGTGTATTCATAATGCTACTGTTTTAATGTAATTAATCACTATAATTTATGATTAATTTAATGTCTTTAAGGCATAACATATACAGCTTTAATTCATGTTTGGACCCAACAAACATTTATTGTTCTCATATTACCAGGCATATTTGTGTCTCAGGAGATTATTAACTCTCATGCTTAATAAGAATTCCTCTAACTTGAAAACTCAAAGATTAAGATTTCTGTGATACCTATGTATAGATAGCAAGGCTATGGTAATGCAATTGGTAAAAGCTTGTTTTGTTTGAGAAAAATAAGGCAGAAAACAAAATTTAATTCTTTGAGAGGATACACTTGCCATCTCTTCTGTTTCTTAGAAAATGGGTTTTCACCATGCTTACTCATAACCAGTACCTGCTTCTTGAACATTTGGCTGAGAAGAAAAAGTAACGTAGCAGTCAGCAGGAACTCACTAATACAAGAGAATGCTGTATGGAATGAAGTAATGCGTACAGAGCATGGCACCTGGCAGATGTGTTTCCATCTGTTGCTCAGACTTTTATCTTATTTTCCCTCCAACCCATTATATGGTCTTTCCATGCTTGGCAAATAGTAGGCAGTCAATGAATGATAAGTTCCTTCTATTTCCTGCTTTTGCTCCAAAGTTAAAGCAGGGCGAATACTTGGGCTGAAATGATTTTCCCTTCTTTACAGCTTGCCTACAGTTTTGAAGAAAGTAGATGTAGTGGATTGGATGTTTATGTGACCCCCACCAAATTAATATGCTGAAATCTTAACACCCAAAGTGATGTTAGGAAGTGGGGCCTTTTGGGGGGGAAGTAGGTCATGAGATGCAGAGCCTTTACATATGGTATTAGTGACCTTATACAAGAGGCCCCAGAGAGTGCATTTTCCCCTCTGCCATGAAAAGTCACAGCTAGAAAGAGCCATCTATGAACAGAAAACTCCCCCTCACCAGACACCAGATCCACCAATACCTTGGCAGGTCTTGGACTTCCCAGCCTCCAGAGCCGTGAGAAATGAATTCCTGTTGTTTATAAGCCACCTAGTTTATGTTTTTTTTTTTTTTTTAATAGCAACCCGAATGGACTGAGACAGTACGTACTCCAAGCCACTCACAATCTCAGATTCACATATGTATTGAATGCCCCATGGAAACAAAGTCCATCATAGCATGTTTGGACTAGAACGGGTGCATGAGACTCTTTTGGCCTAAGGTTGCTATGGAGATCCACTTCTGGAGCAAGGCAGCTCCAGGATTCTGGGAGACCTTCTCGGGGTAAGCAGATGTGAGATTTCTACAGGGACTCCGTGGGATTCACCAGAGCCTGTATGTGACACCTGTGACCTCTGCTTTACTGGGGACCATGTGGCCCCCCTCGCTGCTCTGTATTCCCCACAAAGATTCAAGCAGATGCCCGGTGGTCACTCTGACCATCACAGGCCTGTTCCAATTGTTACTGTGGAAAGGACCTTAGGATATCTGAAAGTTGACCGTATGCTCCTCCAATTGTTCTTGTATACACATCATTTAACACTGGAAAGTAGTAGAGTGTTCATGATTTGTGTGGGCTTTCCAGCTAGCCAGACAAGTTCCAATCCTGTTTCTGTTACCTAGAGTCCTATGACCTTGATCAATTTACTTAGAACTTCCATTTAAGCATTTGTGATATCGGAAAAATGCCTGTCTCACAGGGTTTTTGTAAGGATTGAATGAGATCTGTACCTGAAATGCCTGGTAAAGGGTAAGCACTAAATATGGAGAGCTATTATGATCACTGACAAACGTGACATTTAAGACTTTTAATTCAACATCATTAGCTCATCTGTCTTATTGACACTTAATCAAGACTTTCTAAAGTGTGAGCTCGTATTAATTTCCCGGTAACTCAGTTGTCTACTTGAGTTCATTTTCTTTCACCAAACTGAAACTAACTCCTGTGGCATGATTGATTTTGCCAGAGTGATTCTGCATATCCTAAACAGGATCTTTCCATCTGCTGCTCAACCCCATCTGTTCTTGCCTCCAGCTGATCCAATTTCATATCCAGTTGGTAGAGGGCCACCTGAAAAAAAATCTGCATTATGTTCTGATGTCCTGAAGAAATCTTGAGAAAAATTCAGCATAAAGAGTTCAGTCACTGGGACACACTAAAGGCTCAATAAATTATTTTAGGGGAAATGGGGAACTTGCCATATGGTGCTGGTTTTTTTGGTGGTGAAATTAGGTCATATCAAAGTTGTATTAGAAAAAACAAGGAAAACTCGTGCCTAGCAGAGTGCTATGTGCAGTACAGACTCTTCATACCCAAGAACTAAGTAATATAGTACCATTATTATGTAGGAGGATTGCAAGTCCTTTGAAGGTGATAAATGTTCCAAAGATGTATCATTTCATTTTTAAGGTATTATTATTTTTATATTAAAAGTATGATATTTTAGATGATTAGAGAAACTAGGACATTTAAGACTTTAATTACTCTTTCACAAAATACGCACTAGACTGCATTCACTTGAGCTGGAGTATCAGTGAACATTTATGAAGAAAGAGATGCTTCCCTGAGTGGTGTAGCATGGGGTAATAGCAACAGCACTGAGCATCACCCCAAAACAATTTGCTGGTGCTTATTAGATGCCAGATGTTGTCAGAGGCACTTTGCCTTTATTACCTTCATGTATTTTATCAAATTAAGATAGAATTTATTGTTTGATGCCTCATGACTTTATGTGGCACTTCCAAAAAAGATGTGCCATTGATTTTAAGAATCATCCCAATTAAAATGTGAAATGTGCCTATGTCATAGAATGGAAGAATGCAGTAATCTATGATTCCTTATAACACCTCTATGAGGCTCATTTTACATATGGATAAATTGAAACTTAGTGGTATTAAATGAAATGCCCAAGCCCCTTCCAGTTAGAAAACAAGGAAATCTGGACTTCGATCCAATTTTGTCTGCTCCCTACAATCTGTATTAACCTTGGGCTTCAATGCCCTGGTTCTGCAGTGACTGTAGTTCCAGAGATAGTAAGTAGCAGTGAACAAAGCTCTAGAATGAATTTGTACCTCTAGTGCTGTACCTGGAAGCACATCTTCATATCTGAAATAAGTATACTACATTCACCCATTTCTTCCCCCTTTTTTCTAGTTTCTTTCTTCATTCGTTGATGATCTACATAGAAAATCATGTTTTAAACGAATTCCTTTTCTCTCCTCTGTACCCTAAAGGATCGTGTGTTTTGAAAGCAGTGTAGCTAGCATCAGAAATCATAAGAATAGGAAGAATGGCTTTCTTTAGGGAAAACTTAAAGGTTTCTCTCCTTTCTTGTAGAATTTCTATTATTATAGAAATAATAGAAATATGCTTTATCTTTGATTAAATAAATGATGGGTTTAATACAAGAAGTCATTGCATTACTTGCTTTGGCCTGGAAAACAACTGGTCAGAAACCTCCCTGGCATTCTACCCTCTCATACTTTCTAAATCATCTCCTTCCTACCTTTTTGGGCTCTATGAGACTATAGCCAGCACTACAGGAGCTATCTATTTCTTCTTCCTGTGACTCTAAGATTCCGCAAGTTCAAAACCCAAAGCTTGGCAAGAAAAAAAATCCTAAAGGTAAGTAACATATTTCAATCATTTTACAAATCTCTTTCCTCTTTCCTCTACCAAATACACCGAGGATATCCCTTGAGAAGTTTTACAATCTAATTTGTTTAGTAGATCTTGTGGCCCACACTATTTAGAGCAAAATATTCGTTTACTCAACAATTTTTTTTGTTATGTGCTATGTTAAGCACTTTACATTTTATGTGCTATGCTAAGCACTTTACATTTATTATGTACAACTTACACAACCACTTGGGTAAGTTTGGTTCCTAGGGATTAACTGGATTGCAAGGCCATGAAGCCACAGAGTGCTTGACACCATGCAGAGGGAAGTCAGGTTGACTCAGAGCCCTTACTCCATCTGCTTGGGGCAAACAGAGAAAACTTTTGGCCTAGGATATTTTTCATCAACAGTGAGTAATTACTAAAGTTATTATAGAAGGGATTTCAGTCCTTAAAATGTATTATGTATTCAGATTTTATCCTGTGAATGGCGAAACCCCATCTCTAATGAAAATAGAAAAAAATTAGCTGAGCTTGGTAGTGGGTGCCTGTAGTCCCGCTACTCAGGAGGCTGAGGTTGGAGAATGGTGTGAACCCAGGAGGTGGAGCTTGCAGTGAGCCGAGATTGCACCACTGCACTCCAGCCTGGGTGACAGAGCAAGACTCCGTCTCAAAAAAAAAAAAAAAAAAAATGTATTCAGCTTTTATGTAAAGGGGGATATCCACTTAATGATATTCTTTCTTATTTCTTGATGAGACCATATGATGGTTAAAAGAACCAACTGAATTCATTAAATTTTACTGTAATGGGAAATTCTGTCCACTTTTGTCCTGTGACTATTAGAAATGCATTTTTTACACATATTTTTTCACTTCAAAAAAATTCCAAGCCCTTTTTCTTTATCCCAGCGTTCTCTATCTGTTGAAATAGCTTGCTGTTTATATCAGTCAGTGAATTGAGTTTGAAGTCTCTTTGATATCTCTGATAAAATATTAGAAAAAACCTGGGGTATAAATGCCAAATAGCTGTTTTAGACTCCCCATTAAATTTGAATTTGATAAGTCTATGGATCATATATATAGCATGTGCTATGGCTTTTTACTTTCCATTCTCTGGCCAGTATTAAACTGTAAATTGAAAGGAAATTCTTGGTCACCATCAAATTGATTGATTGAGACATAAGCCAATCTTTAAGTCAAACTAATGTCAAATAGGACATAGAATTCTGGGATAGTTCCAATTATAGAATCAGAATTATGGATTCTTAATTCAGAATAAATTATAGGATTATACTATCACTTATAAATTTTAAGTATTCATTGAACTAGATTTTGTGTTTTCCTTTTGTGTTCCTTTCATTATTTCTATTAAGGAGTTCAGCCAAAATATCCAATTACTTTTTCCCTATCACTGTTAAAACATTTTCTTAGTGTTCTCAGCTTCAGTCTTTCTCTAAACTCATCCTTCACACAACTGGCATATTGCTGTTTATAAAAGTCATATTATATCCCAGCTTGTAAACTTCTGATGGCCTTCTATTGCCTGGCTTATAGGAGAATGCCTACAACTCCTTAGCCTGATGTAAATTACTACCCTCAATCTATCCTCAAAGTTCTCACCCTAATTTTACTACCTACTATCCCTCCACAAAAACCAAGGAACCGAAGTGAGAATGGTCACCTTAAGGTTTCGTGCAAAAACTTTGCCCTTTTTCTTATATTTTACATCCCACCTTCTATCTTCAACACCCACACCCCATATCATCTTTTTAAAAAGCCTTCCTTGGCCTCCTCAGTGCAGAGAGATCTCTGTTGCCCTCCAACTGTCAGAGCACTTCTCTCTCTCCACTCTTTGTTTAGTGGTTGTCATCTCTTCTCTCATTTCTTCTCTATTTCATTTCTTCTCTTGATTTGCACATATATATCTTCTCTTTTTATCTGGATTATAAACATTTTGTGAAAGATATTATCCCAGTGTTTGCAGACAGCGAGTGCAGGTTTTCTATTCTCAACAGAAATGTTATGTCTCTTTAGATGTTTATTTTTAATTTTATTGGAGAATACTATTATCATACATCAGTGTTTTCTTTCTGAGGAAAAACAATCCTAGTTTCTCCTCTCAAAGTACACTTTTATAATAATGAATTACTCTATTCATAGCTTTGTTATAAACTTTCTTCGAGTTCTACCCAACTATATTAATTGAAGTTGTAAAATAAGGTATTAGATGCAATTGTAATATAAAACACATCAACTCTGAGTAGAGCAGAAGGGCTTGCCCCAGTAAATTGCTGGGTCAATACTCCATTAACAACCAACCTGGTGCTACTAAGAACGCTCACTAGAAGCACTGCTCAGGATATCTATAAACTGCACAAACCCATAGAGACAAATAAGTATATATTGTTTGCCTCTTTCAATTTTCTTTTAACAGCTCAACATATAAAATTGAAACAAGAATTATTTTTGTTTCAAAGGATGAAAGTAACTATAACTATTGAATCCTAACATTTTTAATGCTTTAAAAATTAGGTAAATATTTGATACATAAAATCTTAGACTCTATTTAAGCAGCATTTTACCTTCAGTATAATCCGTAGCAAGTAAATTTACCAGTACCTCAGAATACTGTAAAATTCATTTCCTTTCCATTACTTGAGTCCACTACTTCCTCAATCCACGTTAAGCAAAATTTTCTTTTCCCTGTCTGCCTTCCCTATATGGAAAGTGCTGGATGCCATTATGGTATCACGTGACACACTTCTTTTGTTTCTAGTGTCCCCCAGACAACTACTCAGAGCTTTCTTTTTCAGGCATTGTGTGACCACCATTCACTTCTCTTACTTCTTAAATATCGATTTGAGGCTCTGCAATTAAAGAAAAAAAAAGGAAGCTGGTAAAAGAGGGTTTTTTTGGGTGATATTGTGTTTTGGGACAATTTTTTCAAGTATTAAGAATCATATCATTTTATGACCAGGGAGGACCAAACTGAAGTCCAGGAAAATGACTGTCCAAGAAGATCCACAGTTACCTTTTTTGATACTCATATTGGCGATACAGACATGCCAAAACTCGTTCCTTCTGATGTGAGATTTAATGATAGGTACCATTTCCACATGGCCTCAATTGTTTGGTAAGCAGGGCTGTTAACTATGGGGAAATTCTGTAGTATTTGGAACTTCCCCCACCTCTCCATACATTCATACACAACTCTACCGTGGACTTGAATGAGGTAGCAAGGCTTACTAGCTTCTCAAGACTTCGTCATCATAGCCAGACTTGAGAGTAGAGTTTCTGGGTCCACATCTTACAGATATGTGCCCCATCTTTACTACTAGAAGACAAGGAAGGAAGAAATTCTACTCTCTGCGATAGTTTAATCTGAAATGCAAGCTTAAGAATTCCAGAAACCGGAAAAATATTATTTCAGCCTTTTGAATAAAGGAGAGACTACACAGTTAAACCTCTGAAGGCTTCACCAAGCCCCTCAAAGTGAATTTCTGCTAAATAGAATCTCGAGACACTAAACACATAATATTGGCATGCAGAATGTCTGGGTATTGAATAAAAGGTTTACTGGTTTATATAGATAAGCCATCCCCATACACCTTCTGAATGCCTTGATGTCTGCTAGAAAGACAACACAAACCTTAGTCATGCCAGGGAGACAGTAAAATAGCCTTCTTATATTGAGTTATTTGCTGCTTTATTTATTTTTCTTTTTAAATATAACAGTTGTTGGCTTTTACAAATTAATACCAAAATGCCAAAATAAATAAAAGAGAACTTTACTACTTTTGCTTCTATTTTGTGAGAGTACCAGCTATGCCAGTATTTTCTTTGTTTTAAGCCATTCACCTATGGGCATATTCTGTAGCTTCAGTAATTTTTTTTTTTTTTAAGCCCTTGCTTGCAAGTAATTGGTATTGATTTTTGCAGGTTACTGCTAATGTGTTTAGTTCTGAAAAGAAACCTAACTGTACCCTTCTCATCCTATAGTCCCTTGAAGACAATAACATGTATAACTTCAGAGCAAATTGCAGTGGTATCCAACTTCTTTAGGCAAAAATTAGGGGTAGGAGCCAAGTTTTTTCAGGGCGCGTGTCTTCATACCTCAAAGGTAGTGATATGTCTTAACCTCCCCATTATTTCAATTCAACGTGCTGATATACGAAGTGTGGTTGTTAGTGGTTAATACTCCTTATGCTAGAGGAGTAAACAACTAAACAACGTAGAAATCTCATTTAAGAACAAGGCCCTAGGGAGTGACAAGAAATAAGTCTACCCCTTAAATCAGCACATTCAACTGGGTCGGTCATTAACAACATTGGCACTAATAGCTTTTAGCAGCAGGGCAGCTGCTGATTACAATTGGGTTTCCTGCAACTGTGGCTGCAGAAGAACTGAAGCCTCCATTACAAAGGCAGAAAACTGGGGGAATGCACATGAATTCAAGGTAGAAGGGAAAAGCAAGTGGAGTGTGTAGACTTGGATGAAAAGGATTCACAATTTTCCATATAGTTAAACACAACTTTGCATATCAGTCAGTAAAGGGAGTCAAATATATGGTTTGGAAAACTCTGGATTATTGCGAAGCAAGCTTTATTATCCAGAATCAGCTCAAGAAGGTAGTACCTACTGTAGAAGACAAGGTTTCCTTCTGATAAAATGATATTTTCTGTACCAACCCTTGTCTCTTGCAGAGTTGACAAATAGCAAATAAGAGTAGAGTAATACAAATTATAATAAGAAATTTACATATCATTGTTTTTCTAGGTAAAAAGGCAAAAAGCTCACACCTTAAACGGCAGCCATATTTTTGACTGAAAATGCTGTCTTAGCGATGTCATATACATCGCAATGATAATCATCAGCATCCAACTTTGAAACATCCACTTGGCATCCTATTAGTGGCAGTATGAATGATCAGGGCACGGTTCCCTATGGCAGTATTAATGATGCAGTGGAATCAGTCAAGGACAGTTAACACAGCTGAGGTGGGTAAATAGGGTGGATAAAGGAACACGAGATAAACTGTTATTACATATCAACATTTTGACATAATCTGGCAGGCTGACAAAATAGACAACACTCCAAAAATATATCTAGAAGTCAGATTAAAAATTTCAGTGGAAACTTGCAATACTTCCAACAGGGTGGGATTTTATATAAAATAGACTCTTTTTGGATTTATTCATGGGATTTTGTCACTAAAAAAGTGAGAACATCTTGTTATAAAGGAGCTTTTCATGTAAGAATTTTTGATATGTATTTGCTAAACCAACACACAGATATGCCAGCCTGGATATACACAACATCTCCATGTATCTACGGTTACATAGAGCACTTGAAAGAGTCATCTAAATCTTCTTTCTTCACTTCTTTATTTCTCATTCACTTTCATGTGTTGGGAGTGAGGTGGGGAGGTGAGTATAAAATAGAGAGTCCATCCACTTTCCATCATATTCTAGTCCATCTTCTCTACCCACGACTCCATAGAAATTGCTCTTGTCAGACCATAGAAGACTTCCATGAGACTAAATCTAGCGGACAGTTTCTCTGTCCTCAGTTGGAACATTTGGGGGACATTTCTTCTTTTTTAAACACTATTGTTTCTTGGCTTATGTGATGTAACTTCTGATTTTCTTCCTTTCTCACTGCCAACCCCTTCTTAATCTGTTATTTTTCCCCCAATAAAATGAATGCTTTTTGTTTTTTAATCTTGATCAGATCATTATACTCTTTCAGTAACTTCCAATAACTTTTAGTAGTTTTTCATTTCATGTAAAATAAAACCCAAATTCCTCATCATTTCCCTAAAGTTCAGCTTGATTTAGTCCCTACCTGTCGCCGCAATTTTATTCTGCACCACATTCACCGTGCTCTTCCACCTTGCCTTCTTTCCTGTTTCTCTTCAGCCATTTCCCTTTTCAGGGCCTTTTCCTTTGCAGGTTCCTCCCCAACACCCAAATTCTTCACATCTCTGAATCCTTCCTGGCATTCCAATCTCAGTTCCTAAGTTACCACACTGGAAGACCTTCTCCAGGACTTCCATTTCACATTCATCTTGCCTCTTTCTGTCATGTTTATGTTATTTATAGCACTTATCACATTCTGAAAATATCTTTTTTATTTGTTTATGATTTATTGTGTTTTCCCTCCACTGGAATATACATACCATGGGGATGAGGAACATGTCAGTCTTGTTGCCTTCTGTATTACCATTGCTTGATACATAAAAGGCACTTAATAAATATTTGTCAAGTAAAACAGATATTAAAAATTTCAAGGCCCAAAAAATATCTAATGGGACCTAGAAAACATTATTTCAATGAATTGCCCACTCAATGTTTTATCTACTCTGAGAAAGAATACATTTCCTATATCACTTACTCTTTTTAAAAATTAATCTTTTCATAATTAATATAGTCATGTTGTTTAAAAATATAATAAAAATTCCTATTCCTCTTTATATTCCTGTCACAAATATGTCTAGTAACTATATACTGCTACCTGCCACAGGTAACTATGTCTTTAGTATCATTTGTGTTCTTCCAAGGTTTTTAATGCAAAGTCAAGCATACATGAACATATGTTATTTTCTCTTTTTTTAGACAAAAGCTAGACATATTAATCTGTACATTTTTTCCATTCAGCACTCTGTTTTAAAGATACTTCCACATTAGTACCTAAAGAGCTTACCATAAAACTCAGAAATGAAGGTACTGTAACACTGCCATAAACATAGGCAAATAAATCAATGGGACAGAAAAGATAATCTAGAAATAACCCACAGCTATATGGTCAATTCATCTTTAACAAAGGTTCCTAGGGAATTCATTAAGGAAAGTCATTTTAAGTTTTTTTCACAAATGTTTCTGAAATGACTGAATAATCTAATATGAATAAATTGATCCTTGCCTCACACCAGATACACAAATTAATTTGAAATTGATCAGTAACAAATCTAAAAGCTAAAATTATGAAACTTTTGGAAGAAAACATAGGAGAATATTTTTTATGAACTTGGGGAGGCAAAGCTTTTTTAGATAACACAGAGAAAGTGCTAGCCACAAAGAAAAATATTTAAATTGAACTTAATCAAAATTAAAGACTTCTCCTCTTTGACATATTACCACTAAGAAAATAAATAGGCAGATCATAAAATCATAGACCGGCAGGAAATGTATCATTCAAATATATATCTCAAAGGACTTAGATTCAGAATAAAGTATTTATATAACTCAATAAAGCAGCAACGAAAAAATAGACACATTAAACAGACATTAAACAACAAATTGAACAGACATTAAACAACAAAAGACATGCAATAACCAATAAGCAAATAAAACAGTGCCCAGAATCATTAATCATCAGGGAAATACAAATTAAAACCATAATGACAGATCACTGTACACCCACTGGAATGGACCAAATTAAAATTAAAACTCTGACGGCTGCACCAAATGTTGGTAAGGGAAAAGCAACTAGAACTATATTATTTTGCTGGTGGATATGTAAATAGGTATAACTCCTTTGGAAAATTATCAGATTCTTATAAATTTAAACATATATCTACCTTATGACCTAGCAATTCCACTCCTAGGTAGAATTTTAAAAAAATAGATCTATAAAAAGATTTATACAAAAATGTTATAGCAGCTTTATTCACAATATTTCAAAGCTAGAAACATCCCAAATGGCCACAAACTGAAAAACAGGTGAATAAACTGAGGTGTGTTATTTAATGAAATACCATTTAACAACATGGAGTAAACTCTAAAATATTTTTCTGATGCAGAAAGTCAGACCTCGAAGAGTATATTCTGTATTACTCTATTTCTATAAAATTCCACAACAGGTGAAATGAATCTGTTGATGGAAATCAGATCTACATTCTCCTTTGAACTGAAAGGCACTGATGACCTAGGAATTGGCATGACAGAATTTTCTAGGTTGATGAAAATGTTCTATTATCTTGATGGGTGTGGGATACACAGGTGTATACATTTGTCAAAATTTACCAAACTGTGTGCTTAGAGTCTGCATTTCATGATGTAAAAATTACATTTCAATAAAAACACTATAATTAAAATATAATATCTTAAGGTATAAAGTAATAACAATATAAGTAAAATTTAAATAAAGGAAATGAATGTTTAAAATGAGGATCAAGATCTGGAATACAGAATTCATTATTTAGATGGGATTGGAGAAAGGAAGAGAAACGTATATATAATGGGCACTGACTGGTAGACCTTTTCAGCAACGTTGTTGAAAAGCTGAAGTGAAAAAGGCAACATCAGGAAGGTGGACAAAACTAAAGGTCTGCATTTCCCATTGTACCTTTTTTCTAGTGCTGGTACAGCTTACAGCAAAACTTCAAGAGCTAGAACCATCTATCTGAGACAATTCTTTTCCCATTATACCACTAACGAGGTTTATGCCTTTCCTTGCTTTCTCATCTCTATGATTAAAATTCTATGGTGATCTTTAAGTTGAATTACTCTTTCTTTTATCCAGAAACTGAATTAACCAGAGCTTTATCCCAAGCTTAAATTACCTGTAAACCAAATTGCTCTGTAGAACAGAGTGAGAAATGCGGCAAGAAACATCAAGAAACTGGATTCAATGTCTCTAGAATGCTACAAAAATAGAAGTTCTGCTTGACTTAACATTCATGGAATTTACCTTGAAGGATATTATTTTACTATCAAGCTACCTTCTCTTCCTTCCCTGTCTCTGAAGTAAGAACTATAACAATAAATGAAATGCAGAGTCTCCTAAGAAAATGAGATTTGCTCTAATTTTGCCTTTAAGCCATTTTGTTAATTTCTTTTTATTTTTTAAGGCTGCAAAATAAAACCTAATAAAGAAAAGGATTATAATTAACCACTGGGAAAAGTGCACACAAGCTTAGAATTAGCATTGTTAAATTTTTGAGGAAAAAAGGAAGGGATTAAGATAGAATTGCATTTTTTAAAATAGAGATAGGGGAAACGTCTCTCATTGACAGTGGCTCCACCTATTTCCAAATAATTCTGCTGTCTGCATCTCCCAACAGACCACGTGCTTCCTTTTAGGACACCCATGGGAGATCTAGCAATCGTGAGTGCACGGGGCATCCATCACTTGGCACTCATTACATCAGTCTTCTAAGACTGATGGCTGCACTTCTCTCTAAGGGAAAGCAAATATGATCAATTATTGCTCCTGCTCCCTTGTTAGTACACTATTAGCTTCTGCAAATTATGGAGTAGGGTAAAATTTCATATAAATTGTATTAGCAGAACTAATATGTTCTTGATTGAAGACTGTCTATTAATAGGAATTTCAAAGAGAAAGGAACTTTATCAATGAACATAGGCCTGAGATACAGAGCCTCAAAGAAATTAGACCACCATGATAAGAAACCAAGCAATTTAAGAGGACAATACTTGATAAAATAAGGATGCCTACTCGTACCATCACAGAGCAACCACACAATAATATTATACCTCTTTGTAGAAAACAATGGTTTTAAGATATACAGTTATGTGGGAATAACTGATTTTTTTAAAAAAAAATTAATGAAAAATTCTGTAACTACCAATTGTATACAGAAAAGATGATATAATGAATCCCCATAAACTCATCATTTAGATTCATTAATTTTCCAGCAAAAATAAGCCACATCTGCTTAATTTTTTTCTTTGCTATTTTTTTTTTTTTTTTTTGAGACAGAGTCTCGCTCTGTTGCCCAGGCTGGAGTGCAGTGGCACCATCTCAGCTCACTGCAAGATCCACCTCCTGGGTTCACGCCATTCTCCTGCCTCAACCTCTCAGGTAGCTGGGACTACAGGCGCCCACCATCATGCCCGGCTAATTTTTTTTGTATTTTTAGTGGAGACAGGGTTTCACCATGTTAGCCAGGATGGTCTCGATCTCCTGACCTTGTGATCCGCCCACCTCGGCCTCCCAAAGTGCTGGGTTACAGGCATGAGCCACCACGCCCGGCCTTCTTTGCTATTTTTTAAATTTTTTCCCATAAGTTATTGGAGTACAGGTGGCATTTAATTACGTGAATAAGTTCTTCAGCGGTGATTTGTGAGATCCTGGTGCACCCATCAACTGAGCAATATACACTGCGCCATATATGTTGTCTTTGCTAAAAATTTTTAAAACAAATCCCAGCAACATGTAACATCATACCTAAAATACTTCAGTATCCATCTCTAAAAGCACAAACATTGTCTCACAAGATAACAGTGATATTATCTCACCTACATATTAACAATAATGTCTTGGAATCATGTCTAGTGCATACTAAAATTTTTCTAACGGTTTCAAAAATGTCTTTTTCTTAGTTGATATGCTCGAATTAAGATTCAAATACTGTATTTGGTAAATCTCCCAAGTCATTTTTCTTTCTTTCTTTTTTAAATTTACAGCTGTGCTCCTCCTTCTTCCCCTCTCCTTTTTTCCCATGTCATTAACTTTTGGCAGAAACTGTGTCAGTAGTCCTATAAAATGTCCTTCATTCTGGATTTCTCTGTTTGTTTCATTGTGGTGTCATTTAACTGCTTCCTTCCCTCTCTATTTCCTGGTGGCTGGAAGTAAGTGATAAAGGCTCAATTAGATTTAGGTTCAACTTTTGACAGAAATGCTTCATAGATGGTGCAGTCTGCTTTATGTTACATTATCTTAAGAGAAAAAATAAGTTCTAGGGTTCCAAATTCTAGTTATAATGAAAACCTAGTCCCTCTATTGTCTAGTTCTTTTTAATATTTTATCCAAAGGATTTAATCACTGATGAACGTTGCTTTGATCAGTTATTTTATTAACATTGCAAAATGGTGAGTTTTATTCTTACACATTAATGAACTGCAATATTTCCATAAAAAAGGCTATTCATCATCAAGTGATTATTTTGATTACTGAAAAATATAACTCCCTTTAAAGTCAGAATAAATATTTAGTTTTTTCCCCTTTAATTATCAATTTTCAGAGCAAGTAGTTGGTGCCTTAATAATTTCCAGAGAATTTTTGAAAAAGAGTTCCCAAGCAGAAACCGAACTGTAGGCTAACCATCTCCATTATTTTTAAAATTCTAGCTCAAGATCCAGGTTTCCAGAATAATTCCAATCTCAAATCCTCTTTTTTACCCTACATTTCCATAAGATTAATGTGTTCTGTCATTTTTTTCATCATATCAGAATACATGAAAAAATTAATAATTGAAAAATCAATTCCAAACAGCAATCTCAGACCTTCCCGTACATACCCGTCTTTGCTACCTTTCCGTTCACCTTGGTAACATTCTTTCTCCATCCCCCATCCTCAGAATGGTCCCCTCTCTCAAGCCCTCCAGCTCAGTAACACCTGTGTACTGGAGCCTCTCCAAGGCAGGGCTCCTGGTGATCCACAGAAACCTTGAGATGCTAAAGACACTCTCTACTCTTAAGAAAATGGAGAGGATGAACTTCTCCTGTGTGGATGGGAAATTCTGTTAAAGTAATATAAAAAACGACTGCTCATGCTGTTGCTTGGGACAATGTTAGTGAAACAGATCGTTGCATTTTTATACAAAATCACTTTAACTCTTTCACTGTACATTAAGCAATAGTCTCAACACCACTTATTAACACAGCAGCCAGAGTCTGAGAATATGTAAACACAAGGAAAGGATATCTGGGGTGTATCTTTGGAAATAAGATTAAGAACTGCTGAAAGAGAGTACTGGTGAGCTCTGAACTGTGAGGCCAGTGGACATCACTCGATTCTGTGACACAGGCAGCCCGCGGAGCCCTGGTGGTCATCTTTTGTACAAGTGCTTTTGTGCATACAAGCTATTCGTGGATTGAACCCTTGAAGAACAACTCAAAACATGTTACATTTGTGATAAGCAGCATAATGGCCCTTTAAAAATGTCCACACCTGGATCCCTGGAATATGTGAATATGTTGTATTCCATGGTGGCAAAATGGACATTGCACACGAAATTGTGGTTACAGACCTTAAAATAGAGAGATGATTGTCTGGGTGGGACATATTGAATCATATGAACCCTTAAAAGTAGAGAGTGTTCTCTGGCTTGAAGCAGAAGAAGGATGTGGAAGAAGAGAAAGTCAAAGAGATTCCAAGCTTGAGAAGGATTCCATGTTTGCTGGCTCTGAGATGTCGGGGCCCACATGCAAGAACTAGAGGCTGGTTCCCTGTTGACAGCCAGCAAGGAAATAGGAATTTCAGTCCTATGGTCACATGGAACTGGATTCTGCCAACAAACTGAATGAGACTGGAAGCAGATTCTTTCCACAGCCCAGCTGTTAATCATCTTGACATCATCTTCCTAACACCCAGAACAGAGAAACCAGCAGAATCAACTCAGACTTATGACCTATAGAATTGTGTGAGATAATAAGTTTGGGTTAAGTCACTAAGCTTGTGCTAATTTATTATGGAAGCAATAGGAAAGCTAATTAATATTGCTATTGTGTCTACACTATCACTTCATAAAAGGGCATCATACTCTCTAATTAATGGATTACCAATTGTTTCCTGACTGCAGACTATCTGAGTTATCACAGTGTATATGAGGAACCACTCTCTCCCTCCAACCCCTGGTGCTCTCTTCTTTCTAACCTTGTCCCTAAAACGTAGGACTACTATTTCAGCTATATTATTTTGTTCATTATTTTCCCAGCTACATTATTATTACTAGGTATATTATTAACAAAAATGTTCTAATTATTTTGCTTTGCTGTTACCCCAGGAACCCAATAATTGTTTATAGGATGATTATTTGTAGGACGACTATATATATAATCATGTCATCATTTATAGGCTGAATATAGATCATTTATAGGATGAACATGTATATTCAAATTTGAAACACTGACTTAGCAGTGATCTTCTGAAATACCTCTTGTTTGAAAGTCAGGAACTACATGCATTTTACATGGTGATGAGTTTCCCGATGGCATGTAAAAGTGCTATACTAAAAGTAATAAAAGTTTAATATGTAAGACTAATTGGATTCACAATCAATAGGTTATATAAAATGAAGGTTTTAAAGGGCGAGGCAAATACTTTCTTTAATTGAATAATGTGCCTCTTAAGCTGTTTTCCACAGAGAGAGTAATCAGGAATGACTATTATTAAACCAAGCTAATTTCATCTTCTGTGGAAAAAATAAAGAAGAATGTTGAAGGAATAATGCCAAATGCAGCTACACCATTTTGATGGAGACAAATGCATAACAAGGTTCAGTCCTACAGGCAAAAAAGACCAGAAAAGACACCAAAATAATTTAATAAATGATGAAAATCATGTAACAAAAGCTTTCTAGATGATGGTTTAATGGGATGTTACTAATGTAAATTTTATGCCTTGTTTAGCTTTTTATTCTGGTGGAATTTTCCAGTGTGACACCCATATTTAATATCAGAGTTTCTAGGAAAATAAAAGAACTAGAATGGTATTTCACCTGTAAATTCCTTGGAAGATCTGAGGGGACTGAAATATCAAAGTCACATTAGAAAAAGTAATTAACTTAAATCCCTTTTGGAAAGGCAAAAAGAAAAGTGAATCAGAAATAAAAATTATCTTACCGAGAACATTTAAAAAGTGCCGAACAGTAAATGTTAGCTATTGTTCCTGAATACTTTGTCCTTTGAGCTTGTCGACTTTTTAGTCACAAGGCAGTGCACCATCATATTGCCCAAACAATTTACATCACAAAGGAACTATAATATTCTTTTAAAACGAAGAGAGGGTGAATTAATAAGAACCATCATCATACCAGATTCCTTCAATCTCAATGGAATGGCCAAATGCTAGCTGGGAAAATTACTTCAGACTTCTTAACTGCTATAATTGAAGTGAGATTTTCCTCCGTGCGTGCATGTGCAGAATATAAATATTTTAATTTCATCTGTTCAGTGAGTAATATCACAGGACTGCTATTTTACAGAAGTAACATTGGAGAATTAAAGGGTGAGCTTGGGAGTGGACCATATATTTCTAGAGAGACTTTTTTTGCTAGGAGGTTCAGTGAGCATGTGTTCATTTCCTCCTTTTTCTTTCTCCAAGAACAGTAGGAGTGATCTGTGTTTCTGCCCAGAAGGTAACCCTGTTGGATGCTATCAACACAACTGTGAGACTATTAATGATTACATTTAAAAATCTAGCTACCTTCTGCTTCAATTAGTTTCCTCTCCACTACATAAATACACATGAGGGTTTGGAGACATATGACTATCTTTTTCATCTAAAAAGGCTTTCTTCTTCTCTGAGATTCTAGGCATAAACCATCCCATTGACTTGCCAAGGGAATGCATCAACTTCCTGGTAAAAAATGTGATGTTTTGAACTTCCCCTGGTGAGACTAGTACTCCATAAAGGTAGTTTTTGGTAAAGTTATTTTATTGGCATGAAATCTTAAACTAATCTTTCCTAATGCATTTCGACATAGTATAAGCTATGAGTCCATCTCCCATCTGAACTTGCTTTTTTTTTTTTTCAAATAGTGAAATGATTTGAAACTATTTTCAAATAGTGAAACAATTTTTTAGCATCAACCAAGGATCAAATGTTCTCTCAGATTCTGTGGTTTAATTAAATTCTCCTTGCTCCATAGAAGCCAGGTGACTATAAGGTAATTTAATTTATTGTCTTATATTCTGATGTCTTTAATATATACTACATGTATATTCCTTGACACAGATCTCTTAATAGGTATGTGTGTATTATTAATATATGTTAGTCTACACCAGCAGAGCACCTTGATCCATCATGTGCTCATTTGCTTTGTGAGAAGGGGACTCAACTTTTATGTGAAATCTCTTCCATTACCCATAGCCAGCCAAAATTCTCCGATGAAACAAGCATTTTTTAAAAAGAAGTATATTGTCATAACAATCACTTATCCTTTAGTGCTAGAAACTCTCTCTGAGGAGCGCCTCTCTGAAAACCAGCGAGAGCAGAGAGAGGACCTGAGGCCTTGTGGCTGGGATGGTGCCAGAGTGGCAGGATATTGAACGGATAGGGTGGGGAGGGGGCAGCTGAAAGTAGAATGAGTGGACACGTTGTGATTGTCTAGGAAGGGGCAGGTCCTGTATTGACTTTTTTTTTTTTTACTTTTTAAATTATTACAGTTTTTTTTTTCCTACTTATATAAGAACTCTGTACTGTAAACATCTCCGGCTGACCTGTGCTTCTTCCTAACAGAATAGATGAATGCCTCTATCAAGGTAAATGATCTTTCAAGAGTTAGATGTTATTTTAACAAACCAAATAGTACATATTTTTGCAAAAATAAATTTCCTTAAAGTAAAACATCAACAACGAAAAAGTCTAATGTGAGAAAAGAAAGACTAAGTTACAAAGTTTACTCCTGAACACCGGCCTCCTTCCTCTTCCTGGAACATCTCAGACACAGACTTGCCTTGAGCCTCTGGACTGGCCGCTCTCCCTATCTGAATGTTCTTCCCCCACATAGTCACATGGTGAATCCCTGCACCTCTTCCAACTCTCTCATAAATGTCACCTCCTTCCTGAGGCCAATTCCCACAACTCTATTTAAAATTATAAGCCATCCTCACAACTCCAGGCTCCTTCGCCCCTAACATTGCTATTATTTGATTTTTTTCCTTCTAATCTACTCTATACTTTGTTTACTGACATAGTACCTACTTAATGTTCTTGCGTTTAGTATTTATCAGCCTCTCTTTCCCCATTAGAATGCAGGACCCACATGGAGATTCTTCTACTTATTTGCTCATGGAGAATATGGTCTTCACTCAACAAGTATTTGTTGAATGAATGAGAAAAAGAATCAAGAATTTTTTTTACATTAAGGATATCAAAAAGCATACAAATATAATCTGAATTATTTGGGTCAAGAATGCGAGTAAAATGTATGGGGATCATTGAATAATTAGGCTAAATGGATCTGTCAAAGGATGGATACAGTGTTTTCAAGCTCCTCTTTCCCAAAGGGTTTAAGCATATTTGATAATCATATACTTATTTGCTATAAAATACAGTAACGATTATTTAAAAATTTTCAATTTGGCACTTCCTCCCTAGGGGACACTGGGCTTCTAGGGAGTCTTCATGAGCCAAACATCGGTAATATTATATTTTCAAGAACTGCTGAGTTGGGAGGCAATTTGTAACTCTGGATCTGAAAGCCATGATTTGGTGACACTGTGAAACTGCTCTTCTTTAAAAATACTGTAGTAGGCTGGGCATGGTGGCTCATGCCTGTAATCCTAGCACTTTGTGAGGCCTAGATGGGTGGATTGCCTGAGCTCAGGAGTTCGAGACCAGCCTGGGCAACTTGGTGAAACTCTGCGTCTCCACTAAAAATACAAAAAATCAGCTGAGCGTGGTTGCACGTGCCTATAGTCCCAGCTACTTGGGAGGCTGAGGCAGGAGAATTGCTTGAACCCAGGAGGTGGAGGTTGCAGTGAGCTGAGATTGTGCCACTTCACTCCAGCCTGGGTGACAGAGCAAGACTCTGTCTTAAAAACAAACAAATGAACACAACCCCCAAAGGTATAGTCCACATTTTATTGAAAACTGGAGAACAAGACTAACTAAGGTTACATGCCTACTTCCTAGTAACTTTATCAATCAATTCTGACATGTACACTGTAACTGAGTGCCTCTCTTGAACAGGATTCCCAGCCTAGTCTGACTCTTTTATTCTGCCTTCATGTAGCTCCCATACCACAGAAAGAGAAAGGAGGAACCCCGGTTCTTGCTTTTCATTGGTAGAGTAGAACTTCAGTCATTCTTTGTTAGAGATTACTTTAGACAGAGTATTCAACCAGTCGTGTTGTTGTTTCCAAATAAATTAAAAACGAAATTGGGTATTTTAACTTTATAAGAAGATAAAACTGCATTTGAAATCATAGCAATCAAAATAACATTTGTAACAACTTTTGATTTTAGTGATCTCTTTCATTCACTTATTCTAATGTGAAAAGACTGCTTTTTTAGAAAGCCAACAAAATAAAAATTAATATTAAACTTTCTACCTGTATTGAATCAGCAAGTATGCATTAAATTCTGGAACATGAAAGAGGTTGGCTGAGACCTATTCTGACTAAAAAAATTTTTCCATGGCAGGAAAGAACCTACTGATTATATGGCAAGCTCTTTGACATATTATCTATTAATAATTTTGTCCTCAACATGAACCCTGTGAGGTACATATTATTCATGTTAGTACAGCTGTTTTTTTTAGTACAGAAAAGTGAAAATAAGGGAGAAAGTAGATTTCTTAAGATCACAGAGAATGTAAATCCAAGTCTACTTTGCCTATCCAGAGCTCTGAGTCCTATGATCTTCCAAAATAATATGCTTCTGGTGTGCTAAAAAGTAAAATTATATTATTGATATATATCTATATCTATATATATGATATATATCAATTATATAGTTGAAGGTTTTTAAAAATTAAAACTAAATAATATCTATTTAAGAAGAAGAATTAAATAATTAGGTTTAGCAGTACTTGGCATCTGCCATACAAAGTACTTACAAGAAAATACTTTCCAACATCCACGTTTACTCTTTTTAAGCACACATTGAATAAAAGCATAGAGCTGGCTTGAGATGAGTCATCTGTTCTGTCACATTTACAAATGTCTACCCAAAACAAAGCTGGCAGTTTCCAGTAAAACTCAATATGAGTTGAAGCCAAGACCTTGACTCCAAAATCAAATGTGACTGAATCAGAACCCCTCCAGCCTTCCTCAGCACCTCACACGGGAATGAAGAAGAGATTCTACATTCTAACATACGTTTCAAGTAACTGAGAACAAATAGGTTCTGTCTCTGCAGTGTAGATTTTCTCATTAGCAAACCATATTGTGTCTCATTCCCTATACAAATTGTAGCATAACACACCAGAATACAATATGGAGCAAAAAATAAACTTGCTAGTTGTGGAGCCAATAACTGATAAGAGAAACTGCAGCTGAAGACAAAAAAGAAAAATAATGACGCAGAAAAGCTGGTCTAGGAGAAGGTGGAAGACAAACAGCAGATTGTATTTTACATCCTGGTGGAGATGCATAGTAAAGGCTAAGGGAATTTACAGCTTATCTGGCCTGACCCTGATGCTACTCATGGGGGATGAGTTTCAATCCAGTTGTGCTGAGAGGGCTTGGGCAAGTTGTTTTCCTTTCCATATCTGATATTCATTTAAAAGGAGGAAATAAAAAAAATGCACCTTTCACTATTATTGTGAGGATTAGCACTAGTGCCCAGCACTGTGTCTGGCACTGATGCAGGTTCTTAGTAAATAGTAGCCTTTGTTATTTACAGATGGGGAAGCTGAGGGCCAGGGAGGAAAAGTAAGATTCAAGATGGCATTAGTATGTGCTGAAACTGGAAACAAGGAGAGAAAACAGATTAATCTGAAATATGCCATGTCAGATCAGTATTAGAGAGCTTTCCAGCCACATTGTACCTCATCTAGGTTCGTCCCAGGAAGGCAAGCTGCCTGCTCGTGCTGCCAGTAGTAGGTGGGAGGATTCTAGAAGTAAAGCTGTTGTCACTAATCACTGAATCATTTTTTTTTTCCTTCCTGGTTGGCTGAGAACCTCTCCTAAAAGCCAAACCATTCTTCCCAGATCCCTGACAACTCAACAAAAACTCAACTTATTCTATGTAATGGGCTCATCTTGGTGCTTTAGAAAATTTAAAAAATGAGTATATCCTACTGCCTGCCTTTGAGTTTTCAAAATTATTAGAAAGGTAAAGCATGTGTATTCCTAACCATAGTCAAAACTAGAATACATTCCAGAAACACATTACTACAAATTTTAGAAAGAGAAATCCCCTCTTCTTTGGGATAGTCAATAAGGACTTTATAGAAGTCAGATTTAACTGGGTTTTAAAGGATGAGAAGGAATTTCACATTAGAATACTAAATCTGCTAACAAAGGAGATGCATTCTAGCAGCATTTTTATGTGGTCTTCAATTGCACTACCAAACAGAGAAGTAACATTGGAGGCAAAGAAATTAATTACAGATGCCAGGTAAGGGCAGAAAGAATTGGATGATGGGGACAAGGGTTAGACACAGGGAAGTGTCATTAGTGTCAACCAATTTATGTCAAATCTAGAGAATGAGTGCAAATATACATATGGTAGTCTTTGGGAGGATAGAAAGAATAAGGTAATTTGAGGAGGAGGGAATGCAGTAGATAGTTGCCAAAGATAGCCACCAGCAATCCCTTTTCCACTACATACATGAGAGATGGAATTGATTTCTCCTCCCCAGAATCTTGGCTGGCCTGTGACTTTCTTTGATCATTATAATGCTATAGAAGTGACGCTGCCCTTTCCGGGCCTCGATGTTATGGGTCCCAGCAGTTCCTGCTTTCACTTTCCTGGCTCTCAGCTAACAAATTGCAAAGAGGTACAGAATATCATCCAGTATCCTACAGAAAGAGGCCATATGGAGAGGCCAGGACAATGGGACTTCATATATATAGTATATATAGAGAGAGGAAAGGGGAAAGGAGGGGAATTGAGGTATCCCAGGAGAGTCAGTGCCAAGGTCCCAGACATGTCAAGTCAAAATTTATTTACAGAGAATCACAGAAGTCTCAAACTACTTTTTATTTTTTTTTTTTAAAAAAGAAAGTGAACATATCACTAAAGAATGAATCTCAAACATTTTTTGAGTACTTCCCATATGACTGGCAAATGTTAAGGGGGCATCAATGAAAGCCTGATAAATATCTGGCAACCCAAACTATCTTTTATTCATGATTTAATGCTTAACTCAAAACAACTCTTAGAAAAACTGTCCTGACGCTCACATCACCAACTAGGGCATATTAGAAGCTCTCACTCATGTTTCTAGAAAACCTGATCTATTCCCCCATCATATAGTGATTTGTTTGTTGGTCTGCCTTATCTGCTAAACTCAACCACATATGCACAGAGACCAATAACTTTTACCTTTAGTATACAGCAGGTGCTTACTAAGAAATATAATCACTTTAAGGTTACGTACTAGGCACTCGATTGATGGATGGGTGGATAGATGGATAGAATGACTACGTGCTCTGAGAACACAGTGAAAACTTAAAATTTAGCTTTAATTTTTTTTATTTTTAATTTCTATGGGTACATAATATTTGAACATATATATGGGACACATGCAATATTTTGATACAGCATGCAAGGTGTAATGATAAAAATCAGGTTAATGGGGATCTCCATGTTCTTAAACATATATCATTTCCTCCTCTTCTTTTTTTTGTTTTCGTTTTTTTTTTTTTTTTTTTTTTTGAGTCAAGGACCTGCTCTGTCATCCAGGCTCGAGTACAGTGAAGTAACCATGGCTCACTGAAGCCTCAATCTCCTGGGTTCAGGTGATCCTCCCAGCTCAGCCTCTCAAGTAGCTGGGACCACAGGCATACACCCTCATGCCAAGCTAATTTTTTAAAACTTTTTATTCTTTTGTAGAGATAGGGGTCTCATTATGGTGCCCACTATGGTCTCAAACTCCTGGGTTCAAGCGATTCTCCCACCTGAGCCTCCCAAAGTGCTAGGATTACAGGCTTGAGCCACAATGCCCAGCCATATATAATTTGTGTTAGGAACATTTCAATCCCACTCTTCAAGTTATTTTGAAATATACAATAAATTATTGTTAACTATAGTCACCCTATTGTGCTACCAAACACTACATCTCATTCCTTCTACCTAACTGTAGTTTTGTACTCATTAACCATCACCTCTTTATTCCTCCTTCCCCACTACCCTTCCTAAAGTCTGGTAACCATCATTCTACTCTCTACCTCCATGAGATCAATTGTTTTAGCTCCCACTCATGAGTGAGAATATGCAATATTTGCCTTTTGGTGCCTGGCTTATTTCACTTAATATAATGACCTCCAGTTCCAACCATATTGTTGTAAATGACAGAATTTCATTCTTTTTATGGTTGAATAATATTCCATTTTGTATATGTACCACATTTTCTTTATCCATTCATATGTAGGTAGACACTAAGGCTGCTTCCACATCTTGGCTACTGCAAATAGTGCTGCAATAAACCTGGGAGTGCAGATACCTTTTTGAAATACTGATTTTCATTCTTTTTTATATATATTCAGCAGTGGGATTACTGGATCATATAGTATTAATAGCTCTATTTTTAGTTTTCTGAGAAACCTTTATGCTGTTTTCCATAATGACTATACTAATTCACATTCCCACCACCAGTGGGCAAGTGTTCCCCTTTCTCTGCATCCTCACTACCATCTGTTATTATTTTATCTTTTTGATAAAAGCCATTTTAACTTGGGTGAGATGATACTTATTATGGTTTTTTATTTGTCTTGCTCTGATTATTAGTGATGTTGAGCATTTTTTCACATACCTGTTGGGCATATGTATGTGAAAAATGTCTACTCAGCTATTTTCCCTACTTTTAAATACAATTATTAGTTGCTTTTTGCTATTGAGTTGTGTTCTTTATATGTTCTGGTTACTAATCCTTCTCAGCTGAATAGTTTGCAAATATTTTCTCCCATTCTGTAAGTTGTCACTTCACTTTGTTGATTGTCTCCCTTGCTGTGTGGAGATTTTTAGCTTGATGTAATCCTACTTCTCCATTTTTGCTTTGGTTTCTTGTGCTTTTAAGGTCTTACTCAAGAAACCTTTGTCCAGACCAATGTCCTGAAGCATTTCCCCCAATGTTTTCTTTTACTAGTTTCATAGTTTCAGGTCTTACATTGAAGCCCTCAATCCATTTTGATTTGATTCTCAAGAAAATACTAGCAAATCAAATGCAACAACACATTAAAAAGATCAGTCATCCCGATCAAGTGGATTCATCCCAGGGATGCAAGGATGGCTCAACAAATGCAAATCAGTAAAAGTGATACATCACATCAATAGAATGAAGGACAAAAACCATATCATCATTTTAATAGAGGCTAGAAAAAGCATTTGATAAAACCCAGCATTCCTTCATGATAAAAAACTCTCAACCAATAGGGTACAAAAGAACATAGCTCAACACAATAAAGGCTGTATCTGACAAACCCATAGGTAATGTCATACTGAGCAGGGAAAAACTGAATGCCTTTCCTCTAAGATCTGGAACAAGACAAGGATGCCCACTTTCTCCACTTTTATTCAACATGGTACTTAAAGTCCTAGTCAGAGCAGTCAGACAAGATAAAGAAATAAAGCTCATCCAAATTGGAAGGGGAGAAATCAAATTATCCTTGTTTTTAGATGATATAATCTTATATTTAGAAAATTCACTCCTTTAAGTTGCAACTAATTAATCAAGAATGATACTGGGCTTGGCATTGTGGCTCACACCTATAATCCCAGCACTTTGGGAGGGCAGATGACCTGAGGTGAGGAGTTCGAGGCCAGGCTGGTAATCCCAGCTACTCAGAAGGCTGAGGCAGGAGAATCGCTTGAACCTGGGTGGTGGAGGTTGCAGTGAGCCAAGATCACACCATTGCACTCTAGCCTGGGCAACAAAACTCAGGCTCCGTCTCAAAAAAAAAAAAATGATATTGAATCATTTGTCATTTTGATTGAGAGGAAGCTGTTGGAAAGCAGAAACAAGAGGAGATTCCAGGTCTGGATTTCTATTCTGCCTCAGAGGATAACTGGATTATGAGGTGAGACAAGTGCCCTGATGCTCATCAATGTAGGGTTCTAAGAACAGAGAAAAAGGCAACTGTGGACATAGCTTGGTGTGGGAGGTGGTGAGGTTAAAAACTGAAGCAGGGCTGGGCTGGGTGGCTCATGCCTGTAATCCCAGCACTGTGGGAAGATAAGCTGGGTGGATCATTTGAGGTCAGGAGTTTGAGACCAGCCTGGCCAACATGGTGAAACGCCATCTCTACTAAAAATACAAAAATTAGCCAGGTGTCATGGTGCATGCCTATAACCCCAGCTATTCGGGAGGCTGAGGCAGGAGAATCACTTGAGCCTGGGAGGCAGAGGTTGCAGTGAGCCGAGATCGCACCACTGTACTCCAGTCTGGGTGACAAAGTGAGACCCTGTCTAAAAATAAAACAAACAAACAAAAAAACAAAAACTGAAGCAAGAGAGTGGGTGAGCACCTTGAAGGTCATGCTCAGGGCCTCTGAGTTTTATCTTAGATGGAGTGTGAAGTCTTTGGAAGGTTTCAAAAGGAGAGTAATCTGATAAGATTTTGTGGCATTGTGGAGTAAACTCTCCCTGCCCAGAAGAGCACCAGGGAGTGGTACAGAATTTCCAGTGTGATTCTACATGTCTCTCTGGAAATACCTTGGTAAGTAGATGTCACCACAGTTTTCATGGCTAACAGCTGTTTTTAAACCATGAACAGCTTGGCTTTTAGAGAACCTATTAATTATCAATTTATGAAAACAGACAATAATGTATGAAAAAACTCCAAGTCATAGTAGTAGATCCCTTTATAGATCTGGCAGCTTTTCAAGTAAGTGCTTCTGGTATTTATAAAGATCTAGATGCACCATCTGGAACTAGACTAGATCATAATTCATCTAAAAATTTGGTAATAAATTGAAAAACTCAGAAGGGTTGCCTCAGGCAATAGTACTATTGCTCCATTGTCTTAGACTGTTAAGAACACAGTCAAAGATGCTCTTAGCCACAGAGGAACTTACATTCGTATTCTTTCTTCAACTTAAAAAGACAGACATGTAAACGAGTCAAAGAAATTAAGTGCAGGCAATAGGGAGAATAAATTGGATTCGTTTCCCCATTGTGGAGAGAGCTCTGTGGCAGATTACTGAGTATAAACAACACAGGGTTCTTGTGAGATAAGGCAGCTGTCTCTGTGTGGTTCCTGCAGACAAGTATTCACATTAAAGCATCCACTTCTCTAAATGGCAGTAATTGGCCCCCAGCTGACAGTCTCAAAGCAGGCCAAGAAGTGGGAGTTAAATGGAGTGGATGGAAACAAGACATAGCCTTCCAGAGCCAGGTGGAGACTCCCTTTCGCAGCCCCAGAGGAAATCCAGGGATATCCTTTGTTTCATATCATTCTTGCCTCTTGAGGTTTGAAATATATTACTATCTCTAAGGTCAGCAAATCTCCCAGTCTATGACTGGTAGAAATGACAAGGCAAGACTCCCTAGAAGAACATGAGTAGAGCCTCTGCCTGGCAGAGAACATGCAGTTTCTAACCTTTTCCCTGCGGTGCCACCAGCAGGTCCACGGGCAGAGTGACCCACAATGCCCAGTTCATCCAATACCCAAGTTTGCTGGCTGCATTTCTATGAATACAAAACACAGGGTTGCGCTTCATGGACCCTGTCCCCCAAGAGCAGAATTAGGCTCTAGGCTGAAAAACACTGGACTATCCACAGAGAAAGAGGTCACATTTTGGGGGGCATAAGGTTTTTGCTGGTTAATTTTTGCTAAATAAAGTCAGAAACTGAATTTCTATTTCTAAAGGGTGTTTTTAAATTCTCAGTAAAAACATTTTTAAACTGGTTTGGTCCCTTTCTCTCAAATAACTGTAGGAATGTGAATTACAGTACTTTTCCTCTAAAGCCATTTTACAATCTAATTTTCACAATCGTAAATTTTTCTCTTGTTCATTATTATTCCATTTGTATCATTTCCTTTGTCTGTTTATTAGGTTTCATTTCAATTATTTAGACTATTTATTATAATTATTACTATTATTATTGCTGTTTCCGAAGTTATTTTTTCTATCTGAAGTGAGGGTTTTGAGAAGTGAAAATTAACCTACACGTTACCTTAAAAGTGCAGGTTGATAAAACTTCATAGAGCTCTCCCTCTCCCTCTCCCTCTCCCTCTCCCTCTCCCCCTCCCCCTCCCTCTCCCTCTCCCCTTTCCACAGTCTCCCTCTGATGCCGAGCGGAAGCTGGACTGTACTGCTGCCATCTCGGCTCACTGCAACCTCCCTGCCTGATTCTCCTGCCTCAGCCTGCCGAGTGCCTGCGATTGCAGGTGCGCGCCGCCACGCCTGACTGGTTTTCGTACTTTTTTGGTGGAGACGGGGTTTCGCTGTGTTGGCCGGGCTGGTCTCCAGCTCGTAACCGCGAGTGATCCGCCAGCCTCGGCCTCCCGAGGTGCCAGGATTGCAGACGGAGTCTGGTTCACTCAGTGCTCAATGGTGCCCAGGCTGGAGTGCAGTGGCCTGATCTCGGCTCGCTACAACTTCCACCTCCCAGCCGCCTGCCTTGGCCTCCCAAAGTGCCGAGATTGCAGCCTCTGCCCGGCCGCCACCCCGTCTGGGAGGTGAGGAGTGTCTCTGCCTGGCCGCCCATCGTCTGGGATGTGAGGAGCCCCTCTGCCTGGCTGCCCAGTCTGGAAAGTGAGGAGCGTCTCTGCCCGGCCGCCATCCCATCTGGGAAGTGAGGAGCGTCTCTTCCCGGCCGCCCATCGTCTGAGATGTGGGGAGCACCTCTGCCCCGCCGCCCCGTCTGGGATGTGAGGAGCGCCTCTGCCCGGCCGCGACCCCGTCTGGGAGGTGAGGAGCGTCTCTGCCCGGCCGCCCCGTCTGAGAAGTGAGGAGACCCTCCGCCCGGCAACTGCCCCGTCTGAGAAGTGAGGAGCCCCTCCGCCCGGCAGCCACCCTGTCCGGGAAGTGAGGAGCGTCTCCGCCCGGCAGCCACCCCGTCCGGGAGGGAGGTGGGGGTGTCAGCCCCCCGCCCGGCCAGCCGCCCCGTCCAGGAGGTGAGGGGCGCCTCTGCCCGGCTGCCCCTACTGGGAAGTGAGGAGCCCCTCTGCCCGGCCGCCCCCCCCGTCTGGGAGGTGTGCCCAGCAGGTCATTGAGAACAGGCCATGATGACAATGGCGGTTTTGTGGAATGGAAAGGGGGGAAGGGTGGGGAAAAGATTGAGAAATCGGATGGTTGCCGTGTCTGTGTAGAAAGAAGTAGACATGGGAGACTTTTCATTTTGTTCTGTACTAAGATAAATTCTTCTGTCTTGGGATCCTGTTGATTGGTGACCTTACCCCCAACCCTGTGCTCTCTGAAACATATGCTGTGTCCACTCAGGGTTAAATGGATTAAGGGCGGTGCAAGATGTGCTTTGTTAAACAGATGCTTGAAGGCAGCATGCTCGTTAAGAATCATCACCACTCCCTAATCTCAAGTACCCAGGGACACAAACACTGCGGAAGGCCGCAGGGTGCTCTGCCTAGGAAAACCAGAGACCTTTGTTCACTTGTTTATCTGCCGACCTTCCCTCCACTATTGTCCTATGACCCTGCCAAATCCCCCTCTGCGAAAAACACCCAAGAATGATCAATAAAAAAAAAAAAAAATTAAAAAAAAAAAAAAAACTTCATAGAAGTTGCCAAAGACTACATACCTATTTAACATGCATATACATGATACACGTTTCTAAGAAGTAAATATACACGAATGTATGCATGATATATAATAATGATACATAATATTCTCTCTATGTTTGAGAACTCTTACAAATCTTAGTTCTCCCAATTTGTAAGTCTTCTTTGAGGTGATAATAAACAGAGCACACATCCCAGGCTTTGTACGAAATATTTTGTTTTCCAGTAGAGTCACTTTGTCACTTCCCAATGGGGATATGTTCTGAGATATGTGTTGTTAGTTGATGTTGTCATTGTATGACCATCATAGAGCATACTTACACAAACCTAGATGGGATAGCCTACTACTCACCTAGGCTATCTGGTACAGCCCATTGCTTCTAGGCTGCAAACCTGTACAGTATGTTACTGTACTGAATACTGCAGGCAAATGTGACACAATGGTAAAATAGTAACTATGTGTATATCTAAACATAGAAAAAGTACAGTAGTAATATGGCATTATAATATTTTGATACTACCATTTATTGGTCCATCATTATGAAACATCATTATGCAGCACATGACTGTATTTGCAGTGAAGGTCCATGCTGGGTTCAAAGCTTTTTAAAGACCTTTTCCAATCACGGAAGCCCACAATGATTTCAGTCTTGTCTAAATGGCTGAAGCAATTTTGTCTCCTCCATATGCTATAGAACTTGCTAAGTTGAGGTATGATGATGATAGACTAAGGCTCATGGCAACAAACGTAGGGAGATCTATACACCCAAATGAGGCGTGTCCTTCAAAGGAGTCTTTGTGGGAAGTTAGTCACTTTTTTTTTTTTAAAGTGAGCTGCCTTTGCTTAAAATGCTTTTCTATAATTCTCTTTTTAAATGGCCTTAAGTTTATGGTTCTTATTTTATGCTTCACAGTGTACAGGTCAAAAAAAAAATCTCATTTCCTCCTTGCAGTTGGGTCTTAGTCTATAATGGCATTCCTTATCATGATCAGCCACCTTATTCAGCTGACTTTGATACAAATAACTTTGGGAGGGATCCCCAAATCAAATCTTCCCTCAACGATGAAGATTTTTATCCAGCACACAGCATATAATAAATATGTGATGACAGAATGATTGAATCTGACACTTGGGAGTATAGACAAAATTTGGCACTACTGGCTCAAAAAATGGAGTTTAAAAATTGCCACAAGCAATGGCACTATTGCCTCATTGTCTTATATTATTATCTTATTTAATTTTGACACATACTATATATTTATTGTGTGAAGAATTTGTATCTTCTATTTCTTTTGTACTCATCCACAAATGCCCATGACAGAGGCCTGTTAAGTATTTCCCTTACTGCATATATCATACTGTGTATAATTTCCACTGAAAGATTTAACGGCAAAGATCAGGAAGGAGAGAGGAAAATAGTATTCTGCCTCAACTATAATATTGAGTGGTGTGAAAAAAACTTGATAACTTGACCCAATCTTCCTTTCAGGCTGATTTTCTGCCTTAGCAATGTGTCTCACTCTAGACACCATATTTGAACCATAGAGGTTTACCCATAGCTTCTGGAAGACAATTTCTGCTCTCATGCATCTGGGCCTTCACTCAGGATCTTGTCTTTGCCTGAAATGATTTCCTTCCTGTAGCCTGACTAATGACAATCTATACATCTTCCTAAATTCTGCACTAATTTCATTTATTTGGTAAAGTCTTTTTGGAACTACTGAACAGGAAAAAGATTTCTTGCCTTTTTTTTAAATTTAATATACATTTTTACAATGCTTTGTAGACATAACAAATAGCTTACATATTATAATTACTTCCCATATCACATTGGAGACACAGAATTTGGAGTTCCATAGCTGGGACCACGTCTTCTTCCCAATGCTCATCCAGTACCTACCTCCCTGCATGACAAATGTTATGATTTACTACATGATTGCAGGATGAATGCCTACAGGATTATTGATGGCACCTAAAACTAGTGTGCTTTCCCCTCTACCCCTCACCTCATCTTTTACCCAAAAAGAAAAACTTCATCTTTCCTCCTGGAGTTTCCACCAAGAAAAAGGAAACTCTGCTAATATATTCTGGGAAGTAAATGTCTACCATTCTTTCTATCCTTCTAATTGCTCTTCCCTGAGGAGAAGTGACTCACAGAACTGCTGAGATAAGGGCAGAATTCTCTTATTATTTTCATGCCTGAAACTCTCCTTCTTTCTCTTGCTGTGTAGCACATGGGTTATGGGAAGGCCTGGGGTTTTACACTGGCTGCTTTTGCATGTGTAGGCAGGTGAGAGAAGGTGAGCTTCAGCAAGCTTACCATCATCCATCTTCTTTGCCTGCGATCTAGTTGGATAAATTCAATATGGAGGGAAACAAGGAGGAAAACACGGTTAGACTTCATCAGAGACCCTGTGTGCTGGGTAATAGTGTGAACACTCTCAGTTACTATGTTCAGTGTTCATTCTCTGCTCTCCTTTTTCCTTCCCCCAAAATCGACTCCTCTAAAGTAGCTGAAGAGAGGATACCTTTATCCCTACATCCAGGATAGTCTGATTTGTCTAAATCAATCATGGTAAATCCATTTCCCTTGTCAGGATTTAGGAATGAGTGTGTGACCCAATTCTAGCCAATAAAATGAGAGGGAAATTCATGAAAGCCTTACTGGAAAGGTTTGGTTTTCTTACTCCTAAGTAAGAGTGGAGTTTCTGTTTTTCCTCTGAATGTTTATATGTCTAGATGTTACATCTGTAGCTAACACAGCCATCTCACTTCCAGTGCAAGGATGAAGCCATTACGTACAGGACAAAAACCCAGAGAATCACTGAGTTGTATCTCTAGAGCCCTGACATCCTGGAGTAAACTTACCTCTGAACAGCTTTTTATTTGAGATGAGAAATTACCCTACTTTTAAGTCAGTTTTATTTGGTGATTTTTGTTCCTTGTAGCCAAAACTATGCTAATTGACCTACTAATAAAGCTGGTACTGTATTTAATTTCTCATCTGACTATTGGATCTATTTCTCGGTTGGGTGGTATCCATAAGGGAAAATGATGTAATTATATTGCTGAAATTTGCATGCTCCTTTTGCCAAACCTACTCAAGTTACACCATCAATCTTGCAAAAAGCCTTGTGAAATGAAGTTCTCCGTGCACTGTGACAACAATGTATTTGGCAGAAGTATGGTTAATATTTTCTAAAGGAGCACATTATTCATTATCTATATGCCCTACTAACGCATTTTTAGTTTAATTTTCTTCGGTCTAAGTGGGAAGACAAGTTACGGCTGTATTACCACGATAGAGACACGAATATAAAAGTACTCAGAGTAGCAACATAGTGTTATTTGAAGGGTAATTATTGATACTGAAGATTTAAATAACTTCTTGGTGTCATTACCATATTCTTCAGTTTATGTTGAAATTTTTAATCTATTTGTTTTAGTGTTAACATTTTGATGAATAGTTTTTGTATTATTTGGGAATGAAAGTAGGAAAAAAAGATCTAGTCTTTATAGCTCAAATATGTATCTCTTCACCTTTAGTAATTTATGCTGGAACATCACACAAAAGATATTTCTCAGAATGGATATGCATTAAAAATGTTGGGAGATTGCATTACATTACATTCCTCTATTCAAGATTCATAAGGCACATTATACTATCCAGAGCTCCAAGAGTCCTAAAGTGTAAAAAAAAATTATTTTACTTTGTGTTTCTAAAACTTATTTTGACAAAATATCTGTTAAAATTCCATGTAAGTAATATTTTATGAAACATATTGGGGGGATGCTGGCAGAGGATGGTTGTTATCAAACAGCTTAAAAACCCTCAAACGTAGGGTTTGACTGAGTACAAGTCTTAAATACTTCCCATTTTTAGATACCTTTTTTTTTCATTGATGGTCAATAAGAACATATTTAGTTGGTCTGAAGGGAATCTAAAATGCAACATATAGAAGTAAACAGGTATTCATGAAACAAAGTTAAGTTGAGAATTTTTTCTAAAGGAAGACTAAAGTCTAAAACCATTCAATATAATACAGTATCATGAATAAGCACAGGTGTCTCAGATAGTTTTTTTTACAAAGGTAACCATGTAGGTGAAATTAGGGGGGACACTGATGTTCCCTCAACGAGAATTATAACAGGAGAATGTGATTTGTAAGTTAATAGCAAGTAATTTGACAGCATGGTATCAGGGTGGGACTAAGTAAGAACTAGTTGAGAGGGACTGACACTCAGAGAATAAGCCTGAAAACACAAACTTTAAGATATTTCTGGATTCTTTATCCATTAGATTATTGAAACTATCTCCACGATCTTGATCATTAAGTAAGTAGAACATTCAGCTGTCTAAGACCCACTCTTTGTTAATGGTAATAAAGAGAATGAATGAGACAAAAAAACGGAGGTCTTAAAAGCCTGAGATGCTCCATGAAACAGCTGGACTGGTGCATTTTTAAAGATGTTAAGGAAATGTGCTGCAGGAGGGCATCAGCACGAAGCTTTTACAGACTAATTGTCTCGACTCCAGTCACCCCATGAATCCCCTGCAGCATCTCTGTGCATCCTTGCCCAGCTGTGCTTGGTTATAGAGAAGCTTCCTTGTTTTTTTGTCATCTGTGTTTTATGCGTATTCAATTGTTGATTATCTGCATGAGGGTATTCCTTGTTATGGATAATTCACAAAACATGTTTTATGTTTTTTTTTTTTAATAAATCCTGGACCAGCTTCCTGCTATAAGCAATACACTTTGTAGCCATGTCTTCTACTGCTCTGTTGGTAAGTGCTTAGCAAACAGAACCTCATTTAAACACTATCCTAGATAAAATATAATTAGGTAAATAGATCTGTCAAAAACAATATTAAAATTCCAAGCCAAATAGAAATGTCTTTGGGATTATTTGTGCTAAGGCTTCCTTCAATTGTCATTAATAATTAAAGGTGCCACTGTGTTTATTCTCCCTTTCATTTTAAAATGAGGCCAATTAGAGCGGGTCTCCTGTGTTTTTGTTATAGTACATAAGCCACTCTTGAGAGGTATGCACACTGTAGACAGTCAATGGATAATGGATTTGCTAACAAAATACCTTTAAACAAATTATTGGACATAGATATAGGACTCCACATAAAGCTTTTATTCTCATGAGGCATCTTGGACTAGCTTATATTTGTAATCACTTCAAAGTCTGTATTTCCTTCTATTCTCAAATCATGGTCTCTTACACATAAGGGGATAATCTGTGGGCTACTGGCCAGTGAGTAGTTTGGGCCAAATAATTATTTTACTATATTGTGGATCTAGTTAAATCCTATGCTTCAAAATCAGTTGTAGATAAGATTGCCTATTGCAAGAAGCAAAATGCCTAACTCTGCCTGGCTTATGTGCTTATGTATTTAGATCCATATGATCACAGTATTACTGGAAATTTAGCATATCAGTGCTAAAAGGGAAATTAAATAAAATCAAATTCAACCCTCTCATTTTATATGTCAGAAAATAAGTCCAAGAGAGGTTATATGAATATTCCATGATCATTCAACTAGTTAATAACAGAGCTAGAATTAAAACCCAGATTTCTTTACTAGCACCTAATGACTCAGTCACTGAACCAAACTGAAAAGATGTTTGGGAGAGGAGGATTTGTGATGAACCTCACACATATCTACTATGGGGGTAGAAAAGTATTATGAAATATTTGCCCTTGAAGACCTTAGACAGATAACTTCTAATTTAAAATGGAAGAGCAATGTCTTCTCTGCTTCTCCTTACCACCTGAACACCTGAAACCAACGAAAGCTGACAAATAAAATTAGAAATGAAAAGACAAACAGGAGAAAATATTTAGTTAATGCAGTGAAAGCAGTAATAAAACAATTGAGAAACAAAAGACATGAGACATAGGAAACAAAAAGTAAAATGGCAAATATAAGTACAAATATGTCAATAAAAACATTAAAAGTGAATAGATTAAACAATCTAATTAAAAGGCAGAAATTGTGAGACTGGATAAAATAAAAAACAAGATTCAACTATTTGCTGTTTACAGGAGATACACTTTAGATTCAAAGAAACCAGATAGATTGAAAGTGACAGGATGGAAAAACACATGTCATGCAAACAGCATCTGAAGTCATTAAAAAAAGAGGAGCAAACTAAATGCTAGGCAAGAATAGGGAAGAAAATAATAAAAGCTAGAGTGGAGATATACAAAATAAATTATAGAAAATAACAGAGATAGTTAACATAATCAAAACTAATTCTTTGAAAAGATCAATAAAATGGACAAACTGTGAACTAGACTCACCAAGAAAACAAAATGGAAAAGACTCAAACTACTAAAATCAAAAATGAAATATGGGGTATTACTACGAACTTTACAGAAATAAAAAAGATGATAAGGGAAACTATGAACTAATATATGCCAACAAATTAAACAAGATGCAAAGGACAAATTCCTAAAAAAATACAAACTACCAAAACTGACCCAGAAAGAAATAGAATATATTAACGGCCTTTAACAAATAAGATTGAATTAATTGTTTTTAAAAAAAAAACTACCCATAAAGAAAAGTACAAGCTTCACTGGTGATTTCTGCAAAACAAACTCGTAACATAGAAAAGGAGGTATCCCTATTCATTCTATGAGGCTATTATTACCCTCATGCTGAAACGAGAAAAAGACATCACCAGAAAAAAATCATACTGAAATCTCTTATGAATTGTGGTATAAAAAACTTCAATGAAATGCTAGCAAATCAAACCCAGGAATATATGAAAAGGATCATATCTCATGAATAAAATGAATGTATAAGATTGGTTTAACATCTGAAAACCGGTGACTCTAATATACCATATTCATGGAATAGAACTAAAACCATATGAACATCTCAATAAATACAGAAAAAGCATTTGACTAAATTCAACACCCTTTAATGATAGAAACACTCAACAAGTTAGAAATAGAAGGAAATGTCTTCATCCTGGTGAAGGACACCTAGAAAATAACCACAGCTAATATCATACTTAATGGTGAAAGACTGAATACCTTCCCCCTAAAATCAGGAACAAGACAAGGATGTATGTGCTTATCACTTCAATTTAAAATTTTATAGGAGGTTCTAGTCATGGCAATTAGGCAAGAAAAATAAATTAAATACATCCAGATTATAAAAGAAGAATTAAAATTATTTATCTAAAGATAACAGGATCTTGTATATAAAACATCATAAGGAATCCACTAAAAACTATTATAACTAAAAATTAGCAAAGTTGCAGAATAAAAGATCCATATAGAATAACCAATTTTATTTGTATACACTTGCAATAAATAATCTAAATATAAAACTAAGAGAAAATTCCATTTACAACAGCATCAAAGATAATAAAATACTGAGGACTAAATATAGCAAAAAGGGCACAAACCTATACTTTAAAAACTGTCAAACATTGTTGAAAGAAAGCAAAAATCTGAATGAATGAAAACACATCACATATTCATAGATCAAAAGACTTAATATTGTTTATATGGGACTTCTCCCTAACTTGAGGTCTGATTTAATGCAACCTGTATTAAATCCCCACCTGATTTCTTTGTAGAAATTGACAAGCTGATCTTAAATTTCATGTGAAAATTCAAGGGACTCAGAACAGCCAAAAGCATCTTAAAATAGAAAAACACAGTTGGAGGACTCACACTTTCCAATTTCAAAAACTGCAAAGCTATAGTAATCAAGGCAGTGTGGTATTGGCATAAAAATAGATATATAGATCAATTAAATAGAAATATACTCTCAGAGTTATGGTCAACTGATTTTCAGCCAGAGTGCCAAACAATTCAATGGGGAAAAAGCAGTATTTTTCAATAAATGAAGCTGCTACACCTGGTATACACATGCAAAAGTATAAAGTTTGACCCCTATCTCACACCATATACAAAATTAATTCAAGTGGATTAAAGACATGAACATAACTGCTAAAACTATTAAATTCTTAGATGAAAACATAGGTGTAGTAAGTCTTCATGTCTTTGAATTAGAAATGGTTTCTTAGATATGATACTTAAGCACAAGCAACAAAGTAAGAAAATAAATAAATTGAATATTATCAAAATTAAAATATTTGGGCGTCAAAAGATACTGTTAATAATGTAAAAAGACAACACACAGATGATAAATTTTTTGAAAACCATATACCTGATAAAACCAGAATATGTAAATAACTCTTACAACTCATTAATAAAGAAGATTAATAATTCAATTAAAATGTGGGCAAAAAATCAAAATAAGACTTGCTCCAAGTAAGATAAACAAATGGCCGATAAACACATGAAAAGATGCCCATCATTAGTCATCAGGGAAATTAACATCAAAACCCTGAATTATTACTTCACCTGGAGTAGGATGGCCATAATAAAAAAGATGGACAATAACATATGTTGCCAAGAATATGAGGAAATGGAAACCTTTATACACTGTTGATGGGGATGTAAAATGGTGCAGCTGCTTTGAAAAACAGTCTGGCAGTTCCTCAAAGGCTACACATACTGTTACAATATAGCCCAGCAATTCAACTCATCAATATATATGAAGAAAATTAAAAGCATATATCTACAGAAATACTTGTAGATGAATGGTCATAGAAGCATTATTAATAACAGGCAAAAATGTAAACTCAATTGTCCTTCAGTTGATAAATTATAAATAAAACGTGGCATAGTCATACAATGAGATATATTATTCAGCAATAAAAGGAATGAAGTACTAAGATATATATATATACACACACACACACACACTACAACGTGGATTGACTTCAAAAACATTATGCTAAGTGAAAGAAGCAAGACACAAAATGCCACATATTGCAATGATTCCATTTATATGCAAAGTCTAAGATAGGTAAATCCATAGATACAGAAAGTGGTTGCTTAGGGCTGAGAAGTTGGCGGAGATAGAAAATGGTTATTCATGGGTATGGGGTTTCTTTTCGGTTACTGAAACGATTCTAAAATTGATTGTGGTGATAGTTGCACAACACCGTGACTATACTAACAGCATTAAATGGTATAATTAACAGTGGTGAATTGTATCTTCATAAAGTTGTTATTAAAAAAGAAACTCTGTCTTTATTTGGAAATGCCTGAATAATATACTATAATACGTGGAGAAAGATTCTGAGAGCAAGGCTGCAGGTGAAGGGGCACAGAGAGAGGACCACATCCCCTGTAGAACTTAGGCAGAGCTGACCAAGCAAAGAATGCTTCTAATTAGGTGGTGCCCTTAGGGGAAACACTAGGAGACCCACCTTGGAACAACAAGGCCCATTTGTGTGGTTTCTGGGCCAAGCCGCTCTATGCCCGGAATGGCAGGCAACACGGAGCAGTGGGGAAGAGGAGACTTGATGAGGAAATGACATCCGTGTCCTTTCGCTGAAGCCTGACTTGTCCATGTGGCCACGTAGAGAAGAACATGTGTATGGCGCATGTTCCTGAAGTTACCTCTTTTTGCCAACTGAAGAGAAGTAAGAGCTCAATGAGTACAGAGGAAACCCACAATGGGCATCTCACAGCTTCACAGGGA